>NC_000003.12:68797878-69100909 GCF_000001405.40 Homo sapiens
AGCACAGCGATGTGAGTATACATAATGCCACCGTACTATACACTTAAAAATTGGTAAAATGGTAAATTCTATGCTTTGTGCATTTCACTACAATTTTTTAAATGTTTAATGAAATAGGTGATGAATGAACAACATATTTCTCAAAAAGAATATAATATAGGTATATCTTCATCCAGCTGTCATTCACCATCAAGGATTTCATCACACAGTATCTCACAAGAAAAACCTAGACGATCCTGTTTTTATTAAAAGGTGGCATGGCAATATTCTTTCCTCTTTTATGATACCTAGGTACCAAAATTTACTTGATGCAATTGGTAAATGGAGATATGCTGAAGTCAGCTGGTGTGTACAAAGGTGAATGCAGGGGAAGAGATAATGCAGAAATGAAAAATATTCACCCAATTTATCATGTTAATTGGTGTTTATAAATCTAAAAATATAAGTGTCTTGTAATTATGGAGCAAAGAAAATGGCTTCCTCTCTTCAACAAAATTATGAGCCATCAATTTTTTCAAAAGTATGATGTTTTGACAATGTAAGTGCAAACAAAATTAAAATAACCAGAAGTAATAAGTAGAACCCTATTAGAAATGTATCTGGAATCTGGACTTAATTTTTATAAGAGGGATATGTTCCAGCTTCATGCATGGCAGCTGTTGAACATTTAGTTGCATTCAAGGGACATTGCTCATTTGGGGTATGCACACCATCAAGAGCACAAAAATATAAAATCATTTGTTGTTTAGATTCATATAAATGTGTGAATAACAGCTTGGGATATAATTCATATACCATACAATTAAGTCAAAGTGTACAATTCAGTGGTTTATGATATATTCGGAGTTGAGCTATGTTTGAATTCTTGTTAAAACTTGTAAAACTGTTTTTTACTAAAATAAAACTACATACAAGATAAAACCATCAACTAACTTTTTTAAGAGAAGCAGAACTAGTAAAATTGAGTCATACAAAATTTAAAAGGAACAAGAAAAAATAAAATATGCAAATTTAAATTTCAGCGTGGTCATTGCAATTAAGTTTAAATATGTCACTGGTAAATTAAGATGAAAAGGAAACTGCAATCTGTTTTATTGTAGTCCTGGTTTGTTTTATGTTAAAAGAAAGACATACCTTGAAAAATGCTTTACTTTCTAGGTGACAGGGAGCCACTGAAGAGTTTTTGAGCAGCAAAGCATCAGGAGTTTGTGGTAGACAGAATAATGTCCCCCCTCCCTCAAGATGTTCACGTCCTAATTCCCAGAATCTTATGAATGTGTTGTCTTACCTGGTATCTTAGTCCATTCAGGCTGCTGTAACAATATATCATAATTTGAGTGGCTTATAAACAACAAACATTTATTTCTTACAGTTCTGGAGGCTGGGAAGTCCAAGATCAACGTGTCTGCAGAGGCCCTGATTCCTGGTCCTGGAACAAAGCCCTCTCTCTGTCCTCATATGGTGGAAGAGACTAGCTCTGCAGTCCCTTTCATAAGGGTACTCATCCCACTGATGAGGCCCCTGCCCTCATGACCGAATCACCTCCCAAAGACCCCACCTCTTAATACCACCACCTTGGGGGTTAGGATTTCAACACATGAATTTTGAGGGATCCACAAACATTCAGACCATAGCACCTGGTAAAAGAGGCTTTGCAGTTGTGATTAAATCAAGGAGCCAAAAATGGGGAAGCTATCCCTGGTTAGCCACGTGGTCCCAATTTAATCCCATAGCTCCTTATAGGAAGAGGCAGGAGGATCAGTCAGGAAGAAGGCAATGTGACAAAGGAAGCAGAAGGAGAAAAGGCAAAGTGATGAGAGGCCACGTGCTAAGGAATGAAGATAGCCTCTAGAACCTGAAAGGGGCAAAGAGATCGTGTCTCCAACCCCTGGGCCATGGACCAGTGCCTGTCTGTGGCTTGTTAGGAACCAGGCTGCACAGCAGGAAGTAAGTGGCCAGTGAGTTAGCAAAGCTTCATCTGTATTTACAGCCGCTCCCCATCACTCACATTACAGCCTGAGCTCCGCCTCCTGTCAGATGAGCAGCAGCATTAGATTCTCACAGAAGTGTGAATCCTATTGTGAACCGCACATGTGGGGGATCTAGGTTGCCGCTCCTTATGAGAATCTAATGCCTAATGATTTGTTACTGTCTCCCATTGCCCCCAAATGGGACTAATTGCAGGAAGATAAGCTCAAGACTCTTACTGATTCTGCATTATGGTGAGTTGTATAATTATTTCATTATATATTACAACATAATAACAGAAATAAAGTGCACAATAAATGTAATGCACTTGAATTATCCCAAAACCATCCTTCCATTCCCCAGTCCATGAAAAAAATGTCTTTCACAAAACTACTCTCTGGTGCCAAAAATGTTGGGAACCACTGCCCTAGAGCATCCAGAAGGAACCAGCCCTGCCAATAATCCAGCACTATGAGATGATAAATTTGTGTTGTTTTGAGCAACTCAGTTTGTGATCATCTGTTACAACAGCAGTAGGAAATTAATACAGAATAACGGTGCTGACCCTGAACCCCAGTGAGCACAACAACAATCTGAGTATAAAACACATTTTCTTACAGGGATTCTATCCCAGTCACTTACAGAATCAAACTTGTCGAAACAGATAGAACCATGGAGTGGACGTTACCCAGCCCCTCAATTTTGCTTATGAAGGAAACTGAGCCACAGAGTGGCCAAGCAACTGCCCCAACTTAGAGAGTGTGAGTTCTCTGCCTTCCTATCCACACTCAACTCCCCAACTGGTCTGCTCCACACTTGCTTCTCAGCTCGCCAGGGACTGGCACCAGAATGGGGAGGCCACTCTTGAAGAATTTCATTAAGGCACGTTTGAAAGCTTGTCAAAACTTAGGAGAAAAGAAAGTCAAGTTCTTCTACGTGTGCATATTCCACAAATTTAATAAGAACCGAAGCACTTGAAGAACTGAGCTGGAATCTTTATTAACAAGACAGGGAACTGAAAATGAGGCTAAGGAAAAGGCAAAGCTATGAGATCAAAATGATGGGACATCAGCTTTGTCACCAAAGCTGTGGGCAAGAGGCAGGAATTTGAGAAGAGAGAAGATGCCACCCCTTTGACTGCTCCAAAGCTAGTTAGGCTTTCAAGTGTTGAATGGCCAAGAGATGCCTGGATGAAAAAGCCCATCATTAACTTGCATGACTCCCTCCAGACTCCAGAATTTCACAGCCAGACTTCTTCTGGATTTAAATCCCAAGAAAGTGTACCCACCATGCCAGGGCTATTTGTTTTATTTTTATAGAGATAAAAGATTTAATAAATATTGCTTTTCTGATGGTCATAGACATGTAGGTTTCCAAGTGAAACTCTCATCCACGTCCCCCTGGGCCAAAATATCGGAAGGGATTATTGTTTTGCTGATGCATTCCTGTTTTATTCTGTCTTTGTCTAACTGGCCATCATAGCTTTGAACTAGCTCTAGAATCCCTGTGAATTTTGCTACAGCCTTTGGGGGAAATATATAGGTCCAGGTTAAGAACCACCCAAATCTCTTTTCCACCAGATGGCTCTTCAGTGGCTAACATAAAAAGCTGGGATTAAGTAGCTTCTCAGTTCTTAAAGCATTTCCACACACAGCACAAATTGCAGTGGTGCTTTTGCTTTTCTTACTACAAATATCTGTTGACACAACATGAATGTCACCCAGAAAGGCATTTTTACCTACTACACATCTATCGTGGCAATTCATTTAGGTCTTATCACCATAATCTGGCTCAAGGGTTAGTGAACCTTTTCTTAAAAGACCGAACAGTAAATATTTTAGGCTTTAGAGGCCAAACTGCAAAATCAAGGCTGTTATATTGGTACAATCATTTTAAAAATGACCACTTAAAAATGTCAAGATTATTCTCAGCTCATGTGCCCTACAAAAAGATACAGTGGGCCAGATTTGATCAAAGTTTACCAACCTCTGATCAAGATAATTAAGAAAGCCTATTTATAGGTGGAAAAAAATCCATTAATTTGAATTTTGAACTTGTCCCCTAATCATTCAAATAATTTACACAAAATTCGATGTATTTTTTTTTCCAGAATCCAGCAATCTACAGTGTGGTACAAGATGCAAGCCAGCCACTCGTATCTTCAGATTTTTCTTCCAAGTAAATGCAGCAAAGCAATATTAATACACATCTATGTTCACAAAGTTTTTCAAAATAACAAAATGGAGGTTACATTAAATTTTTACTCTGTTACAAAATAATAATGGTGGTATTAAGCAATAGGAAAAACTATTCCAATTGATATCACCAGTTAGCTAACTTTCATATGCAGTTTTGCCATCTCTAATTGACATTTTATAAATGGTATCTTTTTCTAAGTGTTCCATTTTGATTCATACCAATCTGTTGGCATTACACACAAACTGGAAGAAAATATGGAGCATTCTAATTCAAGTATCCTAATTTACATGCTAAATCAGAAGGTCAAAATCAATCTGTCATCTTTAGAACCTTGATCATAGGCCCAGAAATAAAAGGTAGCATGTTGATTTCTTTAGGGGAAGGGGGGTTGGCAGGAAGGATAATTGTTAAAAAAAAAAAAAGTACCAAGTTTCAACATGAGTTTAGAACACCAAAATTTAGTGCACTAGAAGATAAATACTATAAGAAGTGCTTTGGTATGGTGAGTATGGCTTTGTTGAAGTTGAAAATTGTTCTTCATTCTCTGATAGTAGTTGAGCGGCAGATGGCCTGAAGTTATCATAAATATGTAAGCCCTAGAAGTACTCTGCTTTGAAGAGCAGCCAAAACACAATAGTGCTGAACAACACAGAGCACACAGAGAACTGTCTGACACATATAGAGAAATGAGAATCTTTCCACCGCACAGTAACATTTCTAAGCATAGAACATCCGAGAAATCACCTTAGCTTCTCCATGTAGAATTAATGCATATAGCAACCCTGTTTTTTAAAGGTTACGTGGTTAGGAAGTTGGCCTTTCAATTAAATTACCACATTTTCACAATATAGAACTTGAAGTGGAGCTTTGATTGCTTTCTTCTTTGGCAATTTGCTGTCAAAATCCAAGCTTACAGGGATGCTGAGCTGTACAATCCAAGAGAGAACTCTCAGAAGACGGTTTGTTCTAGCTTTTTTTCCCTTGTTCCCTTCTTCCTAATTCAGTACCTGAAATGCCATCCAAAATGATCTCTACTGAAAATGTCCTTCGTTGCCAAATTACAAACGTAGCTCATTTTCTATCCACTACAGCCAGTTATTATTTTGTAGTTACCAGGCTTCAGTAAATAAATACATGTGAGAGCCATCTATCTATTTGTTAATGCTTATTATGTTCTGTGCTAGATAATGAGAAATAAATAGATGAATAATTTAAAGAGAACAATTCCTCTTTCTTTGTGTTTCTACAGAATGGGTTTGAAACTGCTGCCTGGTTCCACTTGCTCCTTCAAATGGGAAGAGGGAGATTTGATTTGATTGGTGAAATGACAAGAGTCCGACATCCACTGGTCCTTAATTCTGTCCTGGGCAAGGCTGATTTATTCCCAGTTGCTGTGTTTATGTGGCCTTGCTTTGTTCAAGGGACATGATGAAAGCCATGATCAGACATGATCGTTCATAGGGGCCTGTTTTGCCATGTGTAAGTCCCAAGGAGAAAACTCAAGGCAGGGAGGGAAGTACTAAGAAGTCCATCTAGGCTCAAGGGTTGATTCTCGTTCTCTAACCCAGTTTAACCAGTGGTGAAACTGAAGTTTTGATTCCTCTCTGACCCTGTGTTTGTTTTTCAATAGCTTCAGTAAGTGGGAAAAAAAAAAAACAGGGATGTGACTCATTGTCTTCCTAAAGCCCTACCAAATAAGATTTCTGCCCTCAAGAGGCTCAGGGCCTTTAAGGGTCTCTACATCTCTGATTCTTTTTTTTTTTTTTTTTTTTTTTGTGAGACAGAGTCTTGCTCTGTCACCTAGGCTGGAGGGCAGTGGTGTGATCTCGGCTCACGGCAACCTCCACCTCCCAGGTTCAAGTGATTCTCTTGCCTGGGATTACAGGCATGTGCCACCACACCTGGCTAATTTTTGTATTTTTAGTAGAGATGGGGTTTCTCCATGTTGGCTAGGCTGGTCTCGAACTCCTGACCTCAGGTGATCCACCTGCCTCAGCCTCCCAAAGTGCTAGGATTATAGGTGTGAGCCATCATGCCCAGTCTATTTTTCAAACTTTATATAATTAAACCATAGTAAGAAACAAGGTGTAACCCACTGCTCCACGAAACATCATGAATTCAATTCAACCCCTTAAGGAAAACATAAAAGTAAATCACCAATCCACACTTTTAAAGCATCTCTGAATAAATCATTATATAAAAGGTATCAGTTACACATAAAACAACATAAACCACTGCTCAATGAAATAAAAGAGGATACAAACAAATGGAAGAACATTCCATGCTCATGGGCAGGAAAAATCAACATCGTGAAAATGGTCATACTGCCCAAGGTAATTTATAGATTCAATGCCATCCCCATCAAGCTACCAATGACTTTCTTCACAGAATTGGAAAAAACTACTTTAAAGTTCATATAGAACCAAAAAAGAGCCCACACTGCCAAGTCAATCCTAAGCCAAAAGAACAAAGCTGGAGGCAGCATCACGCTACCTGACTTCAAACTATACTACAAGGCTATAGTAACCAAAACAGCATGGTACTGGTACCAAAACAGAGATATAGATCAATGGAAGAGAACAGAGGCCTCAGAAATAATGCCTCCTATCTACAACTATCTGATCTTTGACAAACCTGAGAAAAACAAGCAATGGGGAAAGGATTCCCTATTTAATAAATGGTGCTGGGAAACCTGGCTAGCCATGTGTAGAAAGCTGAAACTGGATCCCTTCCTTACACCTTATACAAAAATTAATTCAAGATGGATTAAAGACTTACATGTTAGACCTAAAACCATAAAAACCCTGGAAGAAAACCTAGGCAATACCATTCAGGACATAGGCATGGGCAAGGACTTCATGTCTAAACCACCAAAAGCAATGGCAACAAAAGCCAAAATTGACAAATAGGATCTAATTAAACTAAAGAGCTTCTGCACAGCAAAAGAAACTACTATCAGGGTGAACAGGCAACCTACAAAATGGGAGAAAATTTTCACAACCTACTCATCTGACAAAGGGCTAATATCCAGAATCTACAATGAACTCAAACAAATTTACAGGAAAAAAACAAACAACCCCATCAAAAAGTGGGCAAAGGATATGAACAGACACTTCTCAAAAGAAGACATTTACACAGCCAAAATACACATGAAAAAATGCTCATCATCACTGGCCATCAGAGAAATGCAAATCAAAACCACAATGAGATACCATCTCACACCAGTTAGAATGGCGATCATTAAAAAGTCAGGAAACAACAGATGCTGGAGAGGATGTGGAGAAATAGGAACACTTTTACACTGTTGGTGGGACTGCAAACTAGTTCAACCATTGTGGAAGTCACTGTGGTGATTCCTCAAGGATCTAGAACTAGAAATACCATTTGACCCAGCCATCCCATTACTGGGTATATACCCAAAGGACTATAAAATCATGCTGCTATAAAGACACATGCACACGTATGTTTATTGCGGCACTATTCACAATAGCAAAGACTTGGAACCAACCCAAATGTCCAACAACGATAGACTGGATTAAGAAAATGTGGCACATATACACCATGGAACACTATGCAGCCATAAAAAATGGTGAGTTCCTGTCCTTTATAGGGACATGGATGAAACTGGAAACCATCATTCTCAGCAAACTATCACAAGGACAAAAAACCAAACACCGCGTGTTCTCACTCATAGGTGGGAATTGAACAATGAGAACACATGGACACAGGAAGGGGAACATCACACTCTGGGGACTGTTGTGGGGTGGGGGGAGGAGAGGGGGATAGTATTAGGAGATATACCTAATGCTAAATGACGAGTTAATGGGTGCAGCATACCAACATGGCACATGTATACATACGTAACAAACCTGCACATTGTGCACATGTACCCTAAAACTTAAAGTATAATAATAACAAAATTTTTTTTAAAAAGTACAAAACCAGAGAAGAAAAAAATTAAAATAAAAAAATAAATTATCAGAAAATAACTCAAAAACAACAATTTGAGTACAAAAGGTGGGTCTTGAATTTGTGTGACTTTAAGTACCTGACAACATTGTGAACACTGTAAAAAGCAATATGCCAAGGACTTGGGCAGTATTTCATTTTATAGTTTATGCCTCAGTAGTCAGGAAACAGAAAAAAAAATAATACTTTCCCCGAAGTCTGTGACATGGCATTTTCTTGTTAAGTAAGGAGAAAAAATAGTTTTCCTCAAATTTACTAGTAGATAGAAGAAGAGACAGTCTTTTAGCAGTTTCCACACATTCTAATTGCCTGCTTTAAAAACTGTCAAAAGCAACAAACAAGAAAAATGTTTTAATTCAAATGACATTTCTGAGGAAGTACAAGTAAGCCCAAGCCATTTAGTTTATCATTCTATGTTACATATTTATGTCATATATTATATACTCTATTAAGCCTTTTGTAATAAAAGTTTTTACCCTAACTCTTTTACATACAAGAGTTGGCCAAGAGTATATAAGATAGCAATGATACACAAATATCACCAACATTCATTCAATAGTTGTTTACTGTAATGGACTAAATCTTTACATCCCCCACAATTCATATGTTGAAACCCTAGCCCCTGCAATATGATGGTGGTAGAAGGTAGGACTTCTGGGAGGTAATTAGAATTAGATGAGGTCATGAGGATAGAGTCCTCATGAATGCAATCAGTGCCCTTATAGGAGTCATGATTGAACTTGCTTTCCCTTCTCTACTCTCTACCATGAGAAAAAAACAAGAAGTCTGCAGTCTGCCACCTAAAATCTGACCATGCTAGAACCTAATCTTGGCTTCCAGGCTCCAGAACTGTGAGAAATGAATTTCTGTCAAGCCACTCGGTATATGGTATTCTGTTACAGCATCCTGAAAGGCCTAAGGCATTTACTGAGTGCTAACATGTACCAGAAACTAGTCTAGGAGCTGGAAATAGGAGAATGAACCAAATGAAGTCCTGCCAATGCACTTCTACTTTGCTGATGAACATGAATAACTAAGCATATCAGACATGTCCAGCATGAAGCATGCTAACTCCTTTTCTCTGCAATCCTGCCCCTTGTTTGCCTCAGCTGATCGGTCTAGGGCAGCTAATCCACAGGCTGGCTAGTGACTTGAATCATGTGCCTGAAATTTCAAAAACAAAATCAAAACAAAACCTCACCATGTTGGGTTTATCCTCTTCCAGTGCTTAGAATTTGAACAAAGATTATCAAAAGACAAAGGCAATTAGCAATAGAAGCTGAAGCTGATAGTTCATGTCTGTCTATCTCTAGGGAGGACAGTGAGGCCTTGTTAAGGCATAGGCAAGCTGATATTACCACGCAGCGGAAGCAATGATGAAGAACAATAATTCCCAAATCCAAGCCAGACTGGCCACAAGTAGACATTTTTGAAACATGGGGCATTGTAGCTTGTCACAAGAATTGGGTAGACAATGACATTTGATATCTTACAATGCTCCTGGAGTCCTGCAAAATGAAGAATCATCCCAAAATCTTCACTACTCTTAATGATCTGCAGGGCATTCACATAGGCAAAAACACACTTGTAATTATAAGAGCTTAGATCCTGACTTGACTTTGCACCTGAATACAAAGTATGTTTATATAGTGTTAGAAATCACTGTCTATTAAAGTTAGGAGTGCCATTATGTCAATCCAGAGAGTTGTTTTGTTCAGAGCTTTATCAAGAGACACTCACCATTTCATGTAGCTGCATCACCTACATAAGATTGCTTTGTATTAAGTTCACCAACCTAACACACCTTTGCTGAGCTGCATTTGAAGCTGTGTCATTCACAAAGATTTGACATATAATTGCAAGTATCTGGTAACAACAATATGTCCTCTGGTGTTGTCATGCCAGAGCATCTACATATTGAGCTACAGATTATTGTATGTGTCTTCTTTTGTGTCTCCCTTATAATACAGTAGAGCATTATATTGGAAGGGTGTTTAACATATGTATATAGATTATATTATGTGTAAAATTTAGCACAGAACAGTAAAGGAAGTGCTACAAAATGTTTATTAGAAAAAAATGGGGTGGGGTTTGATGAAGTTGAAAATCACTAAGATAGAAAAGAAAAGAAAGGGGTTAAGTTACTAGTCAGAGTAGAGAGGAAGGAACACACAGGAAAGCAGAGTCTCACAAGACAGAATTGTTCACATACATGAGCAAGCCCCTAAAAATGACCCTTCCACTGGCAGTTTCCAGCTGGTCCTGGGCCCTCAACCGTCCCACCTGAGTCCAGCAATTGAAAGCATCCTTTGTCTCCTGTCTCATGACCTCTCTAATCCATCCTTCTATCATAACAGTTGTCCTAGAATGAAGCAGTACTAATGTCTTCATCTTATGCAAAAGCTTTCCAAATTTCCAAATTATCTTCAAGTGTTGACTATCTAGACCCAACCTACCTTAAAAAAATAATCTACTGCCTTCTTAAACCCTCTGAATGAGCCACCATAGCCTACTTTTTTTCCTAATATGTTATGAGCAGTCCCAAATTCTATCTTCATACCTTTGACTTCTCTGATTTCCCCATGACAAATTCCATTCTTATCTCTAATACTCTAAACTCTAGACTTTCCTTTATGGTTCAGTTCAATTTCCACAAACACACACCCTTAGTGAGCATTTCTTCCTCTAAAAACCTAGAGATAACAATTAAGTGTGGCACAGCAGTCAGAATAGGTTAAGTTACACTGCAATAACAAAAAAGCCCAAAATATCAATGGCTCACAACAAGGGTTTACTTCTGACTTAATGTCAAATGTCTACTGAAAATGAGCCATGTTTCTGGCTCCATGTCATCCTCATTCTAGTACACAAATCAAGGGAGTAGGCTTTACCTGGAACATTGCTGCTTATCATGATAGTAGGAAAAGAACATAGAAACCCCCACTAACTTTACACTTTTGTCCAGGAGGTACACATGTCACTTCCACTCAGATTTCATTTGTTAAAGCAACTCACATGATCAAACATGTCAATGAGGCAGAGAAGGGAGGAGCAACAAATATTTTCAAATAAAATTAAAATCTGTAATAATCAAATCAACTTCATAGTTAACAATTGCTTTCAAGGAATGCCCTTTTACCCTAGAACACAGTGCAAGTTTCATGGTTAGCAACAATCCATTTACAGGTATTCTACTCAAATATGATGATAGAAGTGAGCTTACACATTTTAAAGTACAGATCAAAACAATGAAAGCACAGAATCAATCAAAATAAATGTTTCATTGAAGCCACCAGTTTTTAAATTTGGTTTACCAGTGCAATGAAATTCCAGTATAACAAAATAACTTGAACATTAAAGTTCACTATAACAGTATGGGAATAGTTACTTGTCTAGAAATATAATTGGTTGCCAATATGATTTGTTTGTGATTTTTTTTAGTTTTGAAATATGCAAATTTTAAATAGTGAAATCTAAAATATTATTAATGTCTCCACTATGTTGATTTTTTTTTTTTTTTTTTTTGCCGTGCAGAAGTTCTCTAGTTTGATGTAATCTCCTTTTTCTATTTTTTCTTTTGTTGCCAGTGCTCTGGGATCACAGCCAAAAAAAATTATTGCCCAGATCAGTGTCATAAAGCTTTTCCCCGTTTTTTCTTCTAGCAGTTTTATGGTTTCATAGTCTTATCTTTAACTGCATTTTGAGTTGATTTTTGTACATGGTGTGAGACGAGAATCTAATTTCATCCTTCTGCATGTGGATACCCAGTTCTCCCAGCACCATTTATTGAGAGATTGCCCTTTCCCCACTGTGTGTTGGCATTGTGTTTTGGCACCTTTGTCAAAAATCATTGGTCCGTAAATGTGTGGATTTATTTCTGGGCACTTTATTCTGTCCCCTTGGTCTATGTATCTGTTTTTACGCCAGTACCAGGTTGTTTAATTACTTGCTTGTAGCAGATTTTCAAATCGGGTAACAGATTTTCTAATCATGATGCCTCTGGCTTTGTTCTTTTTGTTCAAGATTGCTTTGACTATTCAGGGTCTTTTGTGGTTCCACATGAATTTTAGAATTCTTTTTTCCTACCTCTATAAAAAATGTGATTGGAATTTGATAAGGAATGCATGGAATCTGTACATTGCTTTGGGTAATGTGGACATTTCAACAATAGTAATTCTGGAGCTGTTCCTATTCGGCCATCTTGGCTCCAGTCTACAGCTCCCAGCATGAGAGACGCAGAAGATGGGTGATTTCTGCATTTCCAACTGAGGTAATGGGTTCATCTCACTGGGGAGTGTCGGACAGTGGGTGCAAGACAGTGGATGCAGCGCACCAAGCATGAGCCGAAGCAGGGCAAGACATCACCTCACCTGGGAAGCACAAGGCATCAGGGAATTCCCTTTCCTAGTCAAAGAAAGGGGTGACAGACGGCATCTGGAAAATCGGGTCACTCCCACCCTAATACTGCACTTTTCCAACGGTCTTAGCAAACAGCAGACCAGAAGATTATATCCTGCGCCTGGCTCTGAGGGTCCTATGCCCACAGAGCCTCACTCATTGCTAGCACAGCAGTCTGAGATCAAACTGCAAGGTGGCAGTGAGGCTGGGGGAGGGGCGCCCACCATTGCCGAGGCTTGAGTAGGTAAACAAAGCAGCCAGGAAGCTCGAACTGGGTGGAGCCCACCGCAGCTCAAGGAGGACTGTCTGCCTCTGCAGACTCCACCTCTGGGGGCAGGGCATAGCCAAACAAAAGGCAGCAGAAAACTCTGCAGACTTAAATGTCCCTGTCTCACAGCTTTGAAGAGAGTAGTGGTTCTCCCAGCACACAGCTGGATATCTGAGAACGGACAGACTGCAACCTCAAGTGGGTCCCTAATCCCCGAGTAGCCTAACTGGGAGGCAACCCCCAGTAGGGGCAGTCTGACACCTCACACGGCCAGGTACTCCTCTGAGACAAAACTTCCAGAGGAACAATCAGGCTGCAACATTTGCTGTTCACCAATATCCACTGTTCTGCAGCCTCCGCTGCTGATACCCAGGCAAACAGGGTCTGGAGTGGACCTCCAGCAAACTCCAACAGACCTGCAGCTGAGGGTCCTGACTGTTAGAAGGAAAACTAACAAACAGAAAGGACATCCACACCAAAACCCCATCTGTCGGTCACCATCATCAAAGACCAAAGGGTAGATAATACCACAAAGATGGGGAAAAAACAGAGCAGAAAAACTGGAAACTCTAAAAATCAGAGTACCTCTCCTCCTCCAAAGGAACGCAGCTCCTCACCAGCAACGGAACAAAGCTGGACAGAGAATGACTTCGACAAGCTGAGACAAGAAGGCTTCAGATGATCAAACTACTCTGAGCTAAAGGAGTAAGTTCGAACCCATGGCAAAGAAGTTGAAAACCTTGAAAACAAAATTAGAAGAATGGATAACTAGAATAACCAATGCAGAGAAGTCCTTAAAGGACCTGATGGAGCTGAAAACCATGGCACGAGAACTACATGATGAATGCACAAGCCTTAGTAGCCAATTCAATCAACTGGAAGAAAGGGTATCAGTGATGGAAGATCAAAAGAATGAAATGAAGCGAGAAGAGAAGTTTAGAGAAAAAAGAATAAAAAGAAATGAACAAAGCCTCCAAGAAATATGGGACTATGTGAAAAGACCAAATCTATGTCTGATTGGTGTATCTGAAAGTGACGGGGAGAATGGAACCAAGTTGGAAAACATTCTGCAGGATATTACGCAGGAGAACTTTCCCAATCTACCAAGGCAGGCCAACATTCAAATTCAGGAAATACAGAGAACACCACAAAGATACTCCTTGAGAAGAGCAACTCCAAGACACACAATTGTCAGATTCACCAAAGTTGAAATGAAGGAAAAAATGTTAAGGGCAGCCAGAGAGAAAGGTCGGGTTACCCACAAAGGGAAGCCCATCAGACTAACAGCGGATCTCTCAGCAGAAACTCTACAAGCCAGAAGAGAGTGGGGGCCAATATTCAACATTCTTAAAGAAAAGAATTTTCAACCCAGAATTTCATATCCAGCCAAACTAAGCTTCATAAGTGAAGAAGAAATGAAATCCTTTACAGATAAGCAAATGCTGAGAGATTCTGTCACCACCAGGCCTGTGCTAAAAGAGCTCCTGAAAGAAGCACTAAACATGGAAAGGGACAACAGGTACCAGCTACTGCAAAAACATGCCAACTTGTAAAGACCATTGAGGCAAGGAAGAAACTGCATCAACTAACGAGCAAAATAACCAGCTAACATCAAAATGACAGGATCAAATTCACACATAACAATATTAACCTTAAATGTAAGTGGGCTAAATGCTCCAATTAAAAGACACAGACTGGCAAATTGGATCAAGAGTCAAGACCCATCAGTGTGCTGTATTCAGGAAATCCATCTCACACACAGAGACACATATAGGCTCAAAATAAAAGGATGGAGGAAGATCTACCAAGCAAATGGAAAACAAAAGAAGGCAGGGGTTGCAATCCTAGTCTCTGATAAAACAGACTTTAAACCAACAAAAATAAGAAGAGACAAAGAAGGCCATTACATAATGGTAAAGGGATCAATTTAACAAGAAGAGCTAACTATCCTAAATATATATGCACCCAATACAGGAGCACCCAGATTCATAAAGCAAGTCCTTAGAGACCTAGAAAGAGATTTAGACTGCCACACAATAATAATGGGAGACTTTAACACCCGGCTGTCAACATTAGACAGATCAACAAGACCGAAAGTTAAGAAGGATACCCAGGAATTGAACTCAGCTCTGCACCAAGCAGACCTAATAGACGTCTACAGAACTCTCCACCCCAAATCAACAGAATATACATTCTTTTCAGCACCACACCACACCTATTCCAAAATTGACCACATACTTGGAAGTAAAGTACTCCTCAGCAAATGTAAAAGAACAGAAATTATAACAAACTGTCTCTCAGACCACAGTGCAATCAAACTAGAACTCAGGATTAAGAAACTCACTCAAAACCGCTCAACTACATGGAAACTGAACAACCTGCTCCTGAGTGACTACTGGGTACATAACGAAATGAAGGCAGAAATAAAGATGTTCTTTGAAACCGACGAGAACAAAGACACAACATACCAGAATCTCTGGGACACATTCAAAGCAGTGTGTAGAGGGAAATTTATAGCACTAAATGCCCAAAAGAGAAGCAGGAAAGATCTAAAATTGACACCCTAACATCACAATTAAAAGAACTAGAGAAGCAAGAGCAAACACATTCAAAAGCTAGCAGAAGGCAAGAAATAACTATGAGAGCAGAACTGAAGGAGACAGAGACACAGAGAACCCTTCAAAAACTCAATGAATCCAGGAGCTGGTTTTTTGAAAAGAACAAAATTGATAGACCACTAGCAAGACTAATAAAGAAGAAAAGAGAAGAATCAAATAGACACAATAAAAAATGATAACAGGATACCACCACCGATCCCACAGAAATACAAACTACCATCAGAGAATAGTATAAACACCTCTATGCAAATAAACTAGAAAATCTAGAAGAAATGGATAAATTCCTCAACACGTACACCCTCCCAAGACTAAACCAGGAAGAAGTTGAATGTCTGAATAGATCAACAAAAGGCTCTGAAATTGAGGCAATAATTAATAGCTTACCAACCAAAAAAAGTCCAGGACCAGATGGATTCACAGCCGAATTCTACCAGAGGTACAAGGAGGAACTGGTACCATTCCTTCTGAAACTATTCCAATCAATAGAAAAAGAGGGAATCCTCCCTAACTCATTTTATGAGGACAGCATCATCCTGATACCAAAGCCTGGCAGAGACACAACAAAAAAAGAGAATTTTAGACCAATATCACTGATGAACATCGAGGCAAAAATCCTCAATAAAATACTGGCAAACCGAATCCAGCAGCACATCAAAAACCTTATCCACCATGATCAAGTTGGCTTCATCCCTGGGATGCAAGGCTGGTTCAACATACGCAAATCAATAAATGTAATCCAGCATATAAATAGAACCAAAGACAAAAACCACATGATTATCTCAACAGACGCAGAAAAGGCCTTTGACAAAATTCAACAACCCTTCACGCTAAAAACTCTCAATAAATTAGGTATTGATGGGATGTATCTCAAAATAATAACAGCTATCTATGACAAACCCACAGCCAATATCATACTGAATGGGCAAAAATGGGAAGCATTCCCTTTGAAAACTGGTACAAGACAGGGATGGCCTCTCTCACCACTCCTGGTCAACATAGTGTTGGAAGTTCTGGCCAGGGCAATCAGGCAGGAGAAGGAAATAAAGGGTATTCAATTAGGAAAAGAGGAAGTCAAATTGTCCCTGTTTGCAGATGACATGATTGTATATCTAGAAAACGCCATTGTCTCAGCCCAAAATCTCCTTAAGCTGATAGGCAACTTCAGCAAAGTCTCAGGATACAAAATCAGTGTGCAAAAATCACAAGCATTCTTATACACCAATAACAGACAGACAGCCAAATCATGAGTGAACTCCCATTCACAATCGCCTCAAAGAGAATAAAATACCTAGGAATCCAACTTACAAGGAATGTGAAGGACCTCTTCAAGGAGAACTACAAACCACTGCTCAATGAAATAAAAGAGGATACAAACACATGGAAGAACATTCCATGCTCATGGGTAGGAAGAATCAGTATCGTGAAAATGGCCATACTGCCCAAGGTAATTTATAGATTCAACGCCATACCCATCAAGCTACCAATGACTTTCTTCACAGAATTGGAAAAAACTACTTTAAAGTTCATATGGAACCCAAAAACAGCCCGCATTGCCAAGTCAATCCTAAGCCAAAAGAACAAAGCTGGAGGCATCACACTACCTGACTTCAAACTATACTACAAGGCTACAGTAACCAAAACAGCATGGTGCAGGTACCAAAACAGAGATATAGACCAATGGAACAGAACCGAGGCCTCAAAAATAATGCCACATATCTATAACTATCTGATCTTTGACAAACCTGACAAAAACAAGAAATGGGGAAAGGATTCTCTATTTAATAAATGGTGCTGGGAAACCTGGCTAGCCATATGTAGAAAGCTGAAACTGGATCCCTTCCTTACATCTTATATAAAAATTAATTCAGGATGGATTAAAGACTTAAATGTTAGACCTAAAACCATAAAAACCCTAGAAGAAAACCTAGGCAATACCATTCAGGACATAGGCATGGGCAAGGACTTCATGTCTAAAACACCAAAGCAATGGCAACAAAAGCCAAAATTGACAAATGGGATCTCATTAAAGTAAAGAGCTTCTGCACAGCAAAAGAAACTACCATCAGAGTGAACAGGCAGCGTACAGAATGGGAGAAAATTTTTGCAATCTACTCATCTGACAAAGGGCTAATATCCAGAATCTACAATAAACTCAAACAAATTTACAAGAAAAAAACAAACAACCCCATCAAAAAGTGGGCAAAGGATATGAACAGACACTTCTCAAAAGAAGACATTTATGCAGCCAAAAGACGCATGAAAAAATGTTCATTATCACTGGCCATCGGAGAAATGCAAATCAAAACCACAACGAGATGCCATCTCACACCAGTTAGAATGGCAATCATTAAAAAGTCAGGAAACAACAGGTGCTGGAGAGGATGTGGAGAAATAGGAACACTTTTACACTGTTGGTGGGACTGCAAACTAGTTCAACCATTGTGGAAGTCAGTGTGGCGATTCCTCAAGAATCTAGAACTAGAAATACCATTTGACCCAGCAATCCCATTACTGGGTATATACCCAAAGGACTATAAAATCATGCTGCTATAAAGACACATGCACACATATGTTTATTGTGGCACTATTCACAATACCAAAGACTTCGAACCAACCCAAATGTCCAACAATGATAGACTGGATTAAGAAAATGTGGCACATATACACCATGGGACACTATGCAGCCATAAAAAAGGATGCGTTCATGTCCTTTGTAGGGACATATATGTAGCTGGAAACCATCATTCTCAGCAAACTATCACAAGGACAAAAAACCAAACACCGCATGTTCTAACTCATAGGTGGGACTTGAACAATGAGAACACATGGACACAGGAAGGGGAACATCACACACCGGGGCCTGTTGTGGAGTGGGGGGAGGGAGGAGGGATAGCATTAGGAGATATACCTAATGTTAAGTGACGAGTTAATGGGTGCAGCACACCAACATGGCACATGTATACATATGTAACAAACCTGCACGTTGTGCACATGTACCCTAAAACTTAATGTATAATTAAAAAAAAATAGTAATTCTTCCAATCCATGAGCATGGGATATCTTTCCATTTATTTGCCACTTCTTCAAATTCTTTCATCAGTGTTTTGTAGTTTCCAGTTGAAAAATCGTTTATGTACTTGAGTAAATTTATCCTTATATATTTTTTGTAGCTACTATAAATGGGATTGTTTTCTTGATTTCTTTTCCGATGTGTTGCTACTGTACAGAAATGCTGATTTTTGTATGTTGATTTTGATTATGCAACTTTACTGAATTCATTTATTAGTTCTAATAGTTTTTATGGAATCCTCAGGGTTTTTCATATATAATATCATGTGATCTGCCAACAGAGACCATTTAACTTCTTCCTTTCTGACTTGGGTACCTTTTACAGGCGTATCTCTGAGATATTGCAAGTTCAGTTTCAGACCACCAGAATAGAGCAAATGTTGCAAGAAAGCAAGTCACACAGTTTTTATTTCCCCGTGCATATAAAAGTTATGTTTATATTCTACTGTAGTCTATTCAATAACTTTATGTCTAAAACACTTAACTGAAAAACACATTATTGCTAAAAAATGCTAACAATAATTTGAGCCTTCAATATGTCATAATCTTTATGCTGGTGGAAGGTCTTGCCTTGATATTGGTGGCTGCTGACTGATCAAAGTTGTGGTTGTCAAAGGCTGGGGTGGCTGTGGCAATTTCTTAAAGTAAGACAATAATGAGGTTTGATGCATCAATTAACTCTTTCATGAAAGATTTCTCTGTAGCATGTGATGCTGTTTGAAAACATCTTATCCACAGAACTTTCAAAACTGAAGTCAATTCTCTCAAACCCTGCGTTTTATCAAATAAATTTATGTAATATACTAAATCCTTTATTGTCATTTCAACAATGTTCACAGAATCTTCACAAAATTCCATCTCAGGAAACTACTTTCTTTGTTCATCCGTAAGAAGCAACCCCTCATCCGCTAATTTTATCATAAGATTACAGAAATTCAGTAACATCTTCAGACTCTACTTCTAACTCTCTTGCTATTTCTACTACATCTGCAGTTACTTCCTCCACAGAAGTCTCAAATTCCTCATAGTCATCCATGAGAGCTGGAATCAACTTCCTGCCAACTCCTGTTAATGTTGATCTTTTGACCTCCTCCCATAAATCATGAATGTTCTTAGTGGTATCTAGAATGGTGAATCATTTCCAGAAGGTTTTCAATTTCCTTTGGCTAGATCCATCAGAGAAAATAACTATATAAAGCAGCTATAATGCTAGGAAATGTATTTCTTAAGTAATAAGACTTGTAAGTTGAAATTATTCCTTGGTCCATGGACTGCAGAATGGTTGTTGTATTAGCAAGCATGAAAACAACATTAATCTCCTTGTACATCTCCATCAGGCCTGTTGGGTGACCAGGGGCATTGTCAATGAGCAGTAATATTTGAAAAGGAATCTCTTTTTTTTCTGGGCAGTAGTTCTCAACAATGGGCTTAAAATACTCAGAAAACCATACTATAAAGATATGTGCTGTCATCCTGGCTCTACTCATAGGCAGAGTAGACTTAGCATAACTCTGAGGGCCCTAGGATTTTCAGGGTTGTAAATGAGCACTGGGTTCAACTTAAAGTCACCTGCATTTCCTCTAACAAGAGAGTCAGCCTGTTCTTTGAAGCTTTGGAGCCTAGCAGTGACTACTTTCTAGCTAGGAAAGTCCTAGATGGCATTTTCTTCCAATAGAAGTCTGTTTTGCCTCCCTTGAAAATCTATTGTGTAGCGTAGCCACTTTCATCAATGATCTTAGCTAGATCTTCTGGATAACTTCCTGCAGCTTCTATATCAGCACTTGGCTACTTCATCCTGCAGTTTTCATGTTATGGAAATGGCTTCTTTCTTTAATCCTCAAACCTCTGCTACCTTCCAACTTCTCTTCTGGAGCTTCCTCACCTACCTTCAGCCTTCAAAGAACTTAAGAGAGTTAGGGGTTTGCTTTGGATTAAGCATGTTACTAGAGTGTTGAGGCTGGTTTGATCTATCCAGATTAAACTTTCTCCATATCTTCAATAAGGCTGTTTTGCTTCAAAAAGAAATCATTCATGTGTTCACTGGTATGGCACTGTTAATTTCCTTCAAGAATTTTTCCCTTGCATCCACAACTTCACTGTTTGGTGCAAGAGGCCTAGCTTTCAGCATATCCCAGCGTATTTCAAAATGCCTTTCTCACTAAGCTTTATCACCTGTAGCTTTTGATTCAAAAGGAGACACATGTGACTCTTCCTTTCACTTGAAGACTTAGGAGCCAATGTAGGGTTATCAAGTGGCCTAATTGTAATATTATTGTGTCTCAGGGAATAGGAAGGCCTAAGGAGGGTGAGAGAGATGGGAGAACGGCTGGTCAGTGGAGTAATCAGAAAACACACAATACTCATCAAATAAGTTCACCATCTTACCTGGGCACAGTGCATGGTGTACCCCAAAACAATTACAATAGTAATGTCAAAGATCACTGATCACAGATCACCATAACAGATAATCATAATAATGAAAAGTTTGAAATATTATGAGAATTACCCAAATGGGACATAGATACATGAAATAAGCACATGCTGCTGGAAAAATGGCACTGATAGACTTGCTGGACATAGGGTTGCCACAAAACTTTAATTTGTAAAAATTGCAATATTTAGGCTGGGTGTGGTGGCTCATATGCCTACAATCCCAGCATTTTGGGAGGCCAAGGCAGGTGGATCACTCAAAGTCAGGAGCTCAAGACCAGCCTGGGCAACATGGCGAAAGCCCATCTCTACAAAAACTGCAAAAATCAGCTGGCATGGTGACACAAACCTGCAGTCCCAGCTATCTGAAGGCTGAGGTGGGAGAACCACTTGAGCCTGGAGGCGGAGGTTGCAGTGAGCTGAAATTGCACTACTGCACACCTGCCTGGGTGACAGAGTGAGACCCTGTCTTTAATTAAAAAAAAAAAAAAAAAAAAAAAAAGCATCTGCAAAGCACAACAAAGCAAAGTGCAATAAAACAAGGATGCCTGTGTTTCTTTGTCTTGTCTAACTGCTCTGTCTACAACTCCAGTATTATGTTGAGTGAAAGCAGTAAGTGTGGGCCTCCTTATCTTGTTTCTAATCTTAGAGGAAAAGCTTTCAACCTTTCACCATTGAGTTTGGGTATTTGTCATCTATGGCCTCTATTGTTCTGAAGGAAGAGACAACTCATGGATTGTATTTGCAAAACAAGAACCAGACAGGGAGCTAATAACCAAAATATATAAGAACTCAAACAACTCAATAGTAAGAAAACCTATAAGCCTGATTTTTTTAAACAGTCCAAGGACCTGAATAGATATTTCTCATATAAATGGCTGACAAGTCATTCTCACCATCATTAATCATCACAGAAATGTAAATTAAAGCCACAGTAAGATATCCCTTCACACCAGTTAGGACGGCTATTATCAAAAAGACAAAGGCTAAGTGTTGGTGAGGATGCAGAGAAAAGGGAACGCTTACACACTGTTGGTGGGGATGTAAATTAATAAAGCCATTATGGAAAACAGTACGACATTCCTTTGACAAAATTAAAAATAGAACTACCATGATTTAGCCATCCCACTACCAGATATGCATCCAAAGAATATGAAACCAGTATGTCAGAGAGATACCTGTACTCCCACATTCATTGCAGCACTATTCACAATAACCAAGATATGAAATCAACCTAAGTGTACATAAATGAATGAAGGAATAAAGAAAATGTGGCATATATACACAATGCAATACTATTCAGCCTTACAAAAGAAGAAAATCATGTCATTTGGAATAACACAGATGAACCTGGAGGACATTATGTTAAGTGAAGTAAGTCAGGCGCAAAAAGACAAATATTGTATGACCTCAGTTACTTGTGGAATCTAAAAATGTTGAACTCATAGAAACAGGGAGTAAAATGGAGCTTGCCAGAGGCTGAGAGATAAGATATTTGTCAAATGACATAAAATTTCAGGGAGAATAAGTTCAAGTGATCTACTGCACATCATGGTGGCTACAGTTAATAACGATATATTACAGACTTAAAAATTGCTAGGCTGGGCACGGTAGCTGACGCCTGCAATCTCAGCACTTTGGGAGGTTGAGGCAGGGGAATTTGAGACCAGGAGTTTGAGAGCAGCCTGAACAACATAGTGAAACCTCATCCTACCAAAAAAAAAATAAAAAATTAGCTGGGCATGATGGCATGTGCCTATAATTCCATCTACTTGGAAGGATTACTTGAACCTAGGAGGTCAAGGCTGCAGTGAGCCATGATAGCACCACTGTACTCCAAGCTGGGCAGCAGAACAAGACCCTGTTTCAAAAAAGAAAAAGAAAATTGCTAAGAGAAATGATGTTAAGTGTTCTCATCACAAAAAAATGGTAAATATGTGAGGGAATACCTATGTTACATAGCTTGATTTAGCCTCTCCACAATGTATAGCTATATCAAAACATCATTTGTACACCATAAATACCTATGACTTTTACTTGTCAATTAAAAAAATTATTAAAGTCTCATGTTATGCACAAAATTTTAAAAATGTAAATACACCATAATTTTAGAAAATGCAAAGAATTTTGTTTCGAAATTGGTAAACCAAAGGAATTACAAACTGTGTTTATGCTGTACCACAAGGTGGTACCAAATGATGTAGTGTACAAATACCCACGGACTTAGTAGTATGGAAATGCATTCTGTAAATCATTTTAGTCACTAATGTGCTGTGTGTTTTAACAGCCAATACTCCCAGGTTAAAATCTTTTACAAATTCTATAATAATGTCTTCCATACATTCAGTGATGCTGAAAAACATAACCAAAAATCAATAACTTTTGAACCACTGCCAAAATATACCACGCTGTTAATTTCAGTGAGGACTCACAGCTATTAGAGATAATCCTAAGATATAAACACAGCATCAAAACAACAATAAGATATGATGGCTGTAGATTTATACACTATGTAGACAACCTCCCTGCTTTTTTTTTTTTTTTTTTTTTTTTTTTTTTTTTTTTTTTTGAGACGGAGTCTCGCTGTCGCCCAGGCTGGAGTGCAGTGGCGCAATCTCGGCTCACTGCAGGCTCCACCCCCTGGGGTTCACGCCATTCTCCTGCCTCAGCCTCCCGAGTAGCTGGGACTACAGGCGCCCGCCACCTCGCCCGGCTAATTTTTTGTATTTTTAGTAGAGACGGGGTTTCACCGTGTTAGCCAGGATGGTCTCGATCTCCTGACCTCGTGATCCACCCGCCTCGGCCTCCCAAAGTGTGCTTTTTTTTTTTTTAAGAGAAAACAAGTCCTGAATGATACGCTTTGTGAATTATATGAGTTCTTCAAGGCACTACCTTGGCAATAAACACCACTGCTACCCTGGATTTTCAACCTTGCCATAAAGAGTGAAGCCTGAAGGGTGCATTCCCAAGTACTATACTTCTTTCAGGTGTTTTACCCTTATGTTACTTTTTATTCAAAGAAAAATGAGAAAATATTGACATATTTAAACCATGATAAGTAACTAGCAGCTCTCTGTCTTCTATTTAAAGACTGTGCTGCCAAATCCATCACTTAAAAAGGTATTTGCAAATGCTTCTCCGGTAATTCTGCAATGGAAACCGCCTGTAGAAAATCTCTACCGGTATTAATTTTGCAATCCTATTGAGCCTCATGTTAACAAAATAAAAATGTATTATGCTTGCTCTTTTTATATGGCAGGTGTGGACAGCTGTGAAGAGCTACTTGTTTACTTGTGGCTGCCACAGCTGTCTTTCTGAATTATCCAGTGAAAACAAATATTGACTTTTTTAAAAAAAATGTAACCCAAACAGTGAATGGGATATAAACTGTTATTGAGTCAAAACAATTTAACGAGCATTTGGATGCCTACTATGTGCAATGCCATAAGCCAGATATAAGCCTAAATTTCACCAAATGAGCTATTTGATATGCTCTCCAATAAGCTACTCTATTATGAACTCTGATTGAAGCTCAGTTGTGTGTCCTGCTGAGTGACAATGGCCAGCACAATCTACTTGGCCTTTTTTCTTATTCACTCCTGGACAAGAAATTTGACTTATCCACTCTTTTTTATCCAAAATTACCTCCAAGAGGCAACATTGCTAAAATTCTTTTTTTCTCTCTCTCTCTGAGATAAAGTCACACTTTGTCACCCAGGCTAAAGTGCAGGGGTGCAATCATAGCTCATTGCAGCCTTGACCTCCCTGGGCTTAAGCGATCCTTCCACCTCGGCCTCCCGAGTAGCCTGGACCACTGAGGAGTGCCACCATGCCCAGTTAATTTTTGTCTTTTGTAGAGATGGAGTTTAACCATGTTTCAGGGAGGCTGGTTTCCAGCTCCTGAACTCAAGCCATCCACCCGCCTCAGCCTCCCAAAGTGCCAGGATTGTAGGCATGAGCCACTGCGCCTGGCTGCTAAAATTCTTATCATGCCATTTCTTTCATTGTGTTAATGCATTCTAAGATGGAATTAATTTTACCTTCACCACTCTCAATTCTACTCTAAAATTGTTTATTTGCTAACTCATCTATCCTGGTAAGTCTGCTTTACAAATAACATTCCAAACTATGAAGCGCAAATAAACTCAGTTGGGTTTAAAAGAATGGCTTTGGCATTTCCCAAATGAATAGGAGCAGTCATTTCCTCTTCCTAACAGTCCTATTGCCCATTCAACCCCTAATGATTTATAGAATACCAACCTTGACTCTTAATATAAGTATCAAGATCTTCAGGTTTCACCATGATTTCTGGTGGTCTTTTCACAATGCCCCTGCCCAGGATTCAAACCTGAGGTCTTCAGGCTTGAAGGGGTCGACAGAATTTGGGGAAATGGGGTGCTGAACTTGGATGAGATAAAAAATTACATCTTTATTTCATTAACCTCCAACAAAATCTAACATTTCTTTCAACGATGAATACAAGCACTAAAATGCAGTAGTATTAGCAGTACCCACAAACTTGTCATCAAAAGAAATCGAATACATTCTTCATCTCACATCTCAGTTATTGCAGATATGTTGAAGTGTCATTGAATGCTCATCACTACTTCAAATTATGGTAGTTTTGAGGCCTGCTACAAGATTTTTTTAATTTTTATTTTTAGTTCTGGGGTACATGTGCAGGACATACAGGTTTGTTACATAGGTAAACATGTGCCCTGGTGGTTCACTACACCTATCAACCCATCACCTAGGTATTAAGCCCAGTATACATTAGCTAATTTTCCTAATGCTATCACTCCCCAAACCCCACCCTCCAAAAGGCCCCAGTGTATGTTGTTCCCCTCCCTGTGTCCATGTGTTCTCATTGTTCAGCTCCCACTTATAAAGTGAGGACATGCAGTGTTTGGTTTTCTGTTCCTGTGTTAGTTTGCTGAGGATAATGGCTTCCAGCTTCATTCACGTCCCTACAAAGGACATTATCTTATTCCTTTTTATGGCTGCATAGTATGCCCAACAATGATAGACCGTATAAGGAAAATGTGGTACATATACAAGATCTTTTTAAATGTGTTAATAAAGTACAAATATTACTCTATCACACTTGTATTTAATATCTGATCATTTTATTTCAATATAATTGGTCTCTTCTGTCCTATTTCTGATTTTATTTTATAAACATAATTATGAGAAGGGTCCATCAGCTTCACCATCCTGCCAAAGGGATCCATGACTCAGAGAAAGAACCCCAGTGGTATGCCACAGTGATCATACCCAAGTACCAGGAAGGAAGCTGAAAGCTGGAGAGGCTAAATAACTGCCCTAAGTTATTTTTTAAAAAATCGTAACGACAACATAGATCATTTGTGAATACTTCCTATAATTTTTTCTATTACTGCTATAACAAGTTACCACAAATTTAGTGGCTTAAAAATGATGTAAATTTATGATGGTTCTACATGTCACAAGTCCAAAATGGGTTTAACTGGGCTAACCTCAAGGTGTCCACAGGGCTGCCTGCCTTCTGGAGGCCCTAAGGGAAAATTATTTCTTCGCCTTTCCCAGCTTCTGAAACAGGCTGCCCATGTTGCTTGGCTGTGGCCCTGTTCCATCGTAAAAGTACATCACTCCGACCTCCGTTTCCATCATCATATCTCCTCTCTGATTCCACCTCTCCTGCCTCCTCCTTTCATGTAAAAGGACCTTGGTGATGACAGTGTGTCCATTTACATAATCTAGGATCATTTCCCCATCTCAAGATCCTTCATTACATCTGCAAAGCCCTTTTCACCATGTAAGGTAAACATGCTCATAGGTTCCAAGGATTCGAATGTGCATCTCCTTAAGGGACCATTATTCTGCCTACCACACACTAAATACCAGAAATTCAGCTTTATGTGACACAGAATGCAATGTTTTTGGAAATATCTTCAGGCTCACAGATGACAATTTTGAAGCTCTGACTTCAGAATTCAAGGTCATGCAGGCAGCAAGGGGCAGAACTAGGATTCAGTCATTTTAGCTACCTGACTCTAACGGCAGCTACTTTTAAGTACCTACTATGAATCGGGCATTTTACGCGTACGGGATTTTCTTACCCTTTAATTTCTCAACTCGCTGTCCGATGCTTGCTTGGTCAACTCTCACTTACCTCTTGGGTGCAAAGTTTAATGCTTTTTTAATTTTTATTAAGTTCTGGGGTACATGTACAGGATATGCAGGTTTGTTACATAGGTAAACATGTGCCATGGTGGTTTGCTGCATAGACCATCCCATCACCTAAGTATTAAGCCCAGCATACATTTGCTATTTTTCTTGAGGGTTTCCCTCTCCGTGCTGCCTCACAGGCCCCAGCATGTGATGATCACCTCCCTGTGTCCATCTCTTCTCATTGTTCATCTCCCACTTATAAGTGAGAACATGCAGTGTTTGGTTTTTCTGTTCCTGTGTTAGTTTGCTGAGGATAATGACCTCCAGCTCCATCCACATCCCTGCAAAGGACATGATCTCAGTCCTTTTTATGCTGCAAAGTATTCCATAATGTATATGTACTACATTTTCTTTATCCAGTCTATCATTGATGGGCATTTGGGTTGACTCCAATCTCATTACTGGGTATACACCCAAAGGAATATAAATTATTCTATTATAAAGATACATGCACGTGTATGTTCATTACAGCACTATTACAAAAGCAAAGTAACAGTTTCTTTAATGGCTTTCTGGGGCCTTCACTAGAGTGTGTGCAGTCACTGAATTTTATTTTTATTTATCCAGTATTAACCTTACCTTAATGAACACATTTCAGGATAGGGAGAATAAAAAGGAGAGGCTCACTGAGCAGTTCCTTTACTCTTTAATAAACCTAGTGTCCAGCATAACTCATAAGAATGAAAATGAAACCTTTGAAAGGACAGCTTTTCCCTATCTGTGAGGCCTTCCAAAGCATATCTCAGGTCAAATCTGTGACCATTCTGCCCTTCTATGCAAGGCTCCATCTTGGATTCTATTGAAGACACAAAAAGGTGTCTATCCCTCCTCTCAAACAGTTTATAACCTAAGGGATGTGAAGAGGGAATAAGTAAAACTTCATCAGTTCAAACATGATTCAGGCAGAGAGCAACACTGTCAGTTACCCAGGCCAAAGGTCAACATCACAATGAGGTTTTTCATAATAAAAGAAGCCAAACTAGGAGGACCCTCACAACAAGCAAGGATGCTGCAGAGCTCTAGATAATGAAGTGAGTTTTGCAAGGTGAGGGAGGGTTGTTAAGCATTAAATAAAAATTAAAAAGCACAGAGGCTGGAAATCATGGCATAGGGCAGGAAAGTTTTATTTGCTCCGAAGGGAGAAGATGCCCTAAGAACACTGGACCTGCAGTCGGAAGGCCCAGATTTGAGAAGCCACCTCTGCCACTACCTATGTAACCATAGCTATTTGATTACACCAAGATTTCTCATGCATAAAAAGGGATAATAAGAAGGTTTACTCAGGGCCGGCCATGGTGGCTCACGCCTGTAATCCCAACACTTTGGGAGGCCGAGGCAGGCAGATCATAAGGTCAGCCGATCGAGACCATCCTGGCTAACACGGTGAAATCTGTCTCTACTAAAAATACAAAAAAATTGGCTCGGCATGGTGGCGGGAGCCTGTAGTCCCAGCTGCTTGGGAGGCTGAGGCAGGAGAATGGCGTGAACCCGGGAGGCAGAGCTTGCAGTGAGCCGAGATCGCGCCACCGCACTCCAGCCTGGGCAACAGAGCGAGACTCTGCCTCAAAAAAAAAAAAAAAAAAGGTTAACTCAGAAAGATATTATGCAAAATAAGTAAAATAATATAAGTGAGCATGCATAAATGTTCCTCTGAATTTGAGGGTAGAATAGTAGGCAGAAAGGATTATCTGGCAAGGAAGGGAAAGAGGAGGCACAAAATAGTATTATAAACAATGGAAGGAGGCTCAAGAATGAGGAGAACCCACATTCCTTCTGAAACTTTAATACCCTTCTACTCCAACCTCTTTCTTACTCAGGAATATTATAACAATCAGATATGAGAAGAAATAACAGGTCTTGTATAATTTCAAAAAATTTCTGTATTTTTATTATTATACTTTAAGTACTAGGGTACATGTGCACAACATGCAGGTTTTTTACATAGCTATACATGTGCCGTGTTGGTTTGCTGCACCCACCAACTCCTCATTTACATTAGGTATTTCTCCTAACGCTATCCCTCCCCCAGCCCCCCACCCCCCAACAGGCCCCTGTGTGTAATGTTCCTCTCTCTGTGTCCATGTGTTCTCATTATTCAGCTCCCACTTATAACTGAGAATATGTAGTGTTTGGTTTTCTGTCCTTGTGATATTTTGCTGAGAATCATGGTTTCCAGCTTCATCCATGTCCCTGCAAAAAACATGAACTCATCCTTTTTTATGGCTGCATAGTATTTCATGGCGTGTATGTGCCACATTTTCTTTATCCAGTCTATTATTGATGGACATTTGGGTTGGTTCCAAGTCTTTGCTATTATGAATAGTGCCACAAGAAACATATGTGTGCATATGTCTTTATAGTAGAATTATTTATAATCCTTTGGATATATACACAGTAATGGGACTGTCGGGTCAAATGGTATTTCTGGTTCTAGATCCTTGAGGAATTGCCACACTGTCTTCCACAATGGCTGAACTAATTTACACTCCCGCCAACAGTGTAAAAGCCTTCCTATTTCTCCACATCCTCTCCAGCATCTGTTGTTTCCTGACTTTTTAATGATCGCCATTCTAACTGGCAAGAGATGGTATCTCATTGTGGTTTTGATTTGCATTTCTCTAATGGCCAGTGATGATGAGCCTTTTTTCATATGTTTGTTGGCTGCATAAATGTCTTTTTTTGAAAAGTGTCTGTTCATATCCCTTGCCCACTTTTTAACGGGGTTGTTTTTTTCTTTTAAATTTGTTTAAGTTCTTTGTAGATTCTGGATATTAGCCCTTGTCAGATGAGCAGATTGCAAAAATGTTCTCCCATTCTGTAGGTTGCCTGTTCACTCTGATGATAGTTTCTTTTCCTGTGCAGAAGCTCTTTGGTTTAATTAGATCCCATTTGTCAAGTTTGGCTTTTGTTGCCATTGCTTTTGGTGTTTTAGTCATGAAGTCCTTGCCCATGCCTATGTCCTGAATGGTATTTCCTAGGTTTTCTTCTAGAGTTTTTGTGGTTTTAGGTCTTCCATTTAAGTCTTTAATCCATCTTGAGTTAATTTTTGTGTAAGATGTAAGAAAGGGATAGTTTCAGCTTTCTACATATGGCTAGTTTTCACACCAGCATTTATTAAATAGGGAATCCTTTCCCCATTTCTTGTTTTTTGTCAGGTTTGTCAAAGATCAGATGGTTGTGGATGCATGGTGTTATTTCTGAGGCCTCTGTTCTGTTCCATTGGTCTATATCTCTGTTTTGGTACCAGTACCATGCTGTTTCGGTTACTGTAGCCTTGTAGTATAGTTTGAAGTCAGGTAGCATAATGCCTCCAGCTTTGTTCTTTTGGCTAAGAATTGTCTTGCCTATACAGGGTCTTTTTTGGTTCCATGTGAACTTTAAAGTAGTTTTTTCCAATTCTGTGAAGTAAGTCAGTGGTAGCTTGATGGGAATAGCACTGAATCTATAAATTACCTTGGGCAGTATGGCCATTTCCACGATAAGGATTCTTCCTATCCGTGAGCATGGAATGTTCTTCCATTTGTTTGGGTCCTCTTTTATTTCATTGAGCAATGGTTTGTAGTTATCTTTGAAGAGGTCCTTCACATCCCTTGTAATTTGGATTCCTAGGTATTTTATTCTCTTTGAGGCAATTGTGAATGGGAGTTCACTCATGATTTGGCTCTCTCTTTGTCTATTATTGGTGTACAGGAATGCTTGTGATTTTTGCACATTGATTTTGTATCCTGAGACTCTGCTGAAGTTGCTTATCAGCTTAAGGAGATTTTGGGCTGAGACGATGGGGTTTTCTAAATATACAATCGTGTCATGTGCAAACAGAGACAATTTGACTTCCTCTTTTCCTAATTGAATATGCTTTATTTCTTTCTCTGGCCTGATTACCCTGGCCAGAACCTCCAATACTATGTTGACTAGGAGTGGTGAGAGAGGGCATCCATGTCCTGTGCTGGTTTTCAAAGGGAATGCAATCCATTTTGCCCATTCAGTATGATATTGGCAGTATGATATTGTGATTGGCTTCACAGAATTGGAAAAAACTACTTTAAAGTTCATATGGAACCAAAAAAGAGCCTGTATAGCCAAGACAATTCTAAGCAAAAAGAACAAAGCTGGAGGCATCATGCTACCTGACTTCAAACTATACTACAAGGCTACAGTAACCAAAACAGCATGGTACTAGTACCAAAACAGATATATAGACCAATGGAACAGGACAGAGGCCTCAGAAATAACACCACACATCCACAACCATCTGATCTTTGACAAACCTGACAAAAAACAAGAAATGGGGAAAGGATTCCCTATTTAATAAATGGTGGTGTGAAAAGAGCTCTTATCATTTTGAGATACGTTCCATCAATACCTGGTTTATTGACAGTTTTTAGCATGAAAGGCTGTTGAATTTTGTCAAAGGGCTTTTCTGCATCTATTGAAATAATCATGTGGTTTTTGTCATCGGTTCTGTTTATGTGATGGATTACGTTTATTGATTTGCGTATGTTGAACCAGCCTTGCATCCCAGGGATGAAGCCAACTTGATCTGGTGGATAAGTTTCTTGATGTGCTGCTGGATTCGGTTTGCCAGTATTTTATGGCGGATTTTCGCATCGATGTTCATCAAGGATATTGGTATAAAATTCTCTTTTTCTGTTGGGTCTCTGCCAGGCTTTGGTATCAGGATGATGCTGGCCTCAAAAAATTAGTTAGGGAGGATTCCCTCTTTTTCTATTGATTGAAATAGTTTCACAAGGAATGGTACCTGGTCATCTTTGTACCTCTGGTAGAATTCAGCTTGAATCTGTCCGGTCCTGGACTTTTTTTGGTTGGTAGGGTATTAATTATTGCCTCAATTTCAGAGCCTGTTGTTGGTCTATTCAGAGATTCAACTTCTTCCTGGTTTAGTCTTGGGAGGGTGTATGTGTCGAGGAATTTATCCATTTCTTCTAGATTTTCTAGTTTATTTGCATAGAGGTGTTTATAGTATTCTCTGATGGTAGTTTGTGTTTCTGTGGTATCAGTGGTGATATCCCTTTTTTCAGGTTTTATTGCGTCTACTTGATTCTTCTCTCTTTTCTTCTTTATTAGTCTTGCTAACGGTCTATCAATTTTGTAGATCTTTTCAAAAAACCAGCTCCTGGATTCATTGATTATTTGAAGGTTTTTTTGTGTCTCTATCTCCTTCAGTTCTGCTCTGATCTTAGTTATTTCTTGTCTTCTGCTAGCTTTTGAATTTGTTTGCTCTTGCTTCTCTAGTTCTTTTAATTGTGATGTTAGGGTGTCAATTTTAGATCTTTCCTGCTTTCTCTTGTGGGCATTTAGTGCTATAAATTTCCCTCAACATACTGCTGTAAATGTGTTCCAGAGATTCTGGTACATTGTGTCTTTGTTCTCATTGGTTTCAAAGAACACCTTTATTTCTGCCTTCATTTCGTTATTTACCCAGTAGTCATTCAGGAGCAGATTGTTCACTTTCCATGTAGTTGTGCAGTTTTGAGTGAGTTTTTTAATGCTGAGTTCTAATTTGATTGCACTGTGGTCTGAGAGACAGTTTGTTGTGATTTCTGTTCTTTTACATTTGCTGAAGAGTGTTTTGCTTCCAATTATGTGGTCACTTTTGGAATAAGTGAGATGTAGTGCTGAGAAGAATGTATATTCCGTTGATTTGGGGTGGAGAGTTCTGTAGAGGTCTACTAGGTCCACTTCGTCCAGAGCTGAGTTCATGTCTTGAATATCCTTGTTAATTTTCTGTCTCGTTGATCTGTCTAATATTGACAGTGAGGTGTTAAAGTCTCCCATTATTATTGTGTGGGAGTCTAAGTCTCTTTGTAGGTCTCTAAGGACTTGCTTTATGAATCTGGGTGTTCCTGTATTGGGTGCATATATATTTAGGATAGTTAGCTCTTCTTGTTGAATAGATCCCTTTACCATCATGTAATGGCCTTCTTTGTCTCTTCTTATCTTTGTTGGTTTATAGTCTGTTTTATCAGAGACCAGGATTGCAACCCCTGTTTTTTTCTGCTTTCCATTTGCTTGGTAGATCTTCCTCCACCTCTTTATTTTGAGCCTATGTGTGTCTTTATATATGAGATTGGTCTCCTGAATACAGCACACCAATGAGTCTTGACTCTTTATCCAATTTGCCAGTCTGTGTCTTTTAATTGGGGCCTTTAGCCCATTACATTTAAGGTTAATATTGTTATGTGTGAATTTGATCCTGTCATTATGATGCTAGCTGGTAATTTCACCCATTAATTGATGCAGTTTCTTCACAGTGTCGATGGTCTTTACTATTTGGCATGTTTTTGCAGTGGCTGGTACCGTTGTCCCTTTCCATGTTTAGTGCTTCCTTCAGGAGCTCTTGTAAGGCAAGCCTGGTGGTGATAAAATCTCTGAGCATTTGCTTGTCTGTAAAGGATTTTATTTCTCCTTCACTTATGAAGCTTAGTTTGGCTGGATGTGAAATTCTGGGTTGGAAATTCTTTTAAGAATGTTGAATATTGGCCCCCACTCTCTTCTGGATTGTAGGGTTTCTGCAATCAGATCTGCTGTTAGTCTGACGGGCTTCCCTTTGTGGGTAACCCGACCTTTCTCTCTGGCTGCCCTTAACATTTTTTCCTTCATTTCAACCTTGGTGAATCTGGCAATTATATGTCTTGGGGTTGCTCGTCTTGAGGAGTATCTTTGTGGTGTTCTCTGTATTTCCTGAATTTGAATGTGGCCTGTCTTGTTAGGTTGGGGAAGTTCTCCTGGATAATATCCTGAAGAGTGTTTTCCAGCTTGGTTCCATTCTCCCCATCACTTTCAGGTACACCAATTAAATGTAGATTTGTTTTTCTCACATAGTCCCATATTTCTTGGAGTCTTTGTTCATTTCTTTTCACTCTTCTTTAATCTTGTCTTCTCACTTTATTTCATTAATTTGATCTTCAATCACTGATAGCCTTTCTTGTCCTTGATCAAATTGGCTACTGAAGCTTGTGTATGCTTCACGAAGCTCTCGTACTGTGGTTTTCACCTCCATCAGGTCATTTAAGCTCTTCTCTACACTGGTTATTCCAGTTAGCCATTTGTCTAACCTTTTTTCAAGGTTTTCAGCTTCCTTGCAATGGGTTAGAACATGCTCCTTTAGCTTGGAGAGCTTGTTATTACCCACCTTCTGAAGCCTACTTCTGTCAACTCGTCAAACTCATTCTCTGTCCAGTTTTGTTCCCTTGCTGGTGAGGAGCTGTGTTCCTTTGGAGGAAAAGAGGCCTTCTGGTTTTTGGAATTTTCAGCCTCTCTGCTCTGGTTTCTCCCCATCTTTGCGGTTTTATCTACCTTTGGTCTTTGATGTTGGTGACCTACAGATGGGGTTTTGGTGTGGATGTCCTTTTTTGTTGATGTTGATGCTACTCCTTTCTGTTTGTTAGTTTTCCTTCTAAGAGAGAAGCCCCTCAACTGCAGATCTGTTGGAGTTTGCTGGAGGTCCACTCCAGACCGTGTTTGCCTGGGTATCACCAGCAGAGGCTGCAGAAAAGCAAATATTGCTACCTGATCCTTCCTCTGGAAGCTTCATCCCAGAGGGGCACCCACCTGTATGAGGATCTGTCAGCCCCTATTGGGAGGTGTCTCCCAGTCAGGCTACATGGGGGTCAGGGACCCACTTGAGGAGGCAGTCTGTCCATTATCAGAGCTTGAATGCCATGCTGGGAGAAACACTGCTCTCTTCAGAGCTGTCAGGCAGTGACGTTTAAGTCTGCGGAAGCTGTCTGCTGCCTTTTGTTCAGATATGCCCTGCCTCCAGAGGCGGAATCTAGAGAGGCAGTAGGCCTTGCTGAGCTGCAGTGGGCTCTGCCCAGTTCAAGCTTCCCCGACACTTTGTTTACTCTGTGAACATACAACCGCCTACTCAAGCCTCAGCAAGGGTGGACGCCCCTTCCCCCGCCCATCTCCAGCATCCCAGGTCAATCTCAGACTGCTGTGCTACCAGCGAGCAAGGCTCCATGGGCATGGGACGTGCCAAGCCAGGCACAGGAGGGAACCTCCTGGTCTGCCTGTTGCAAAGACCATGGGAAAAGCATAGTATTTGGGCAGAGTGTACCATTCCTCCAGGTATAGTCACTCACAGCTTCCCTTGGCTAGGAAAGGGAAATCCCCCAACCCTTTGCACCTGGGTGAGGCAACACCCCACCCTGCTTAAGCTTGCCTTCTGTGGGCTGCATCCACTATCCAACCAGTCCCACTGATACCTCAGTTGGAAATGCAGAAATCACCCATCTTCTGTGTCAATCTCGCTGGAAGCTATAGACTGGAGCTGTTCCTATTCAGCCATCTCGGAAGCGACTATAATAAATTTCTATTTTAAAGAAAGTTACCTATTCCTCAAAGCACCACAGAATGCAGATTCAGTGTACGTACAGCCAGAGTCTAGAATCTTCCATGCATGAAAATGGAGCTTATGTGAAATACAACACTTAACTTTATTGTAGCATGTCTGAGGAGCTTCAATAAAAGGACCAATATAAAGATTATTTTGACTACCTAAAGCATTTAGGCACTTAGGGATAAAAGGTAAGAAAAACAAGTTTTTCTAAAAATAAGTCAAATAAGAATGAACAGTCAATAGTCTTTTTTAACTTAAATAGCATGTAAATAGTTAATTTGGTTGGAAGAATCATTTTCTTTTTATAACTTTAAATAAAAGTTTTTCTTAACTGACATCCACTCTTAGCCCCCTATCCACAACAAACACTTTCATGGATAAGTTTTAAAAATGAATAAATGAACTGATCACCCCTTTCAGTTTATTGTTTCATAAAATATAGCAGAGGAACATGAGGCCAGTGTCAAAGGCATACTATGCTCTTACCACTCCAAGTTAGAAGATCTTAGGAAATTGCTCTAAGTTTCAGTTGCCTCAACTGTAAAGTGTTGACCAAAATGTGAAGATTCAGTGAAAGAATTAGTGTAAAGCCCCTAACACTCAGTTGGAGGGGAGAGGCAGACACATATTCCCAACTCTTCATGCTCCATTAGCCAGAGTTGATGCTCACCCTGACTTCTCTCCCCAAACCTCAGGAGCCCCTCCGTAAAGTAAGAGGAATGACTTACATAACTGGTTGATTGGCAAGTTTGGAGAAAAGGAACCTAGCATTCAAAGATCATTCCCTGGAAGGATCCCTTTTAGGGTCTGCCTACTTAAGCAGAGGCTAACATTTTGATCTGTTCTGTTCCATGTAGTAAAGAACCTACCCTGCTAAGGACATCCTGAAAATAACTGCTTTAGCCATGCCTGGTAGAATGACCAAGTCCACTTTCCCACATACCCAAAGCCATGGTCTCTACTCCTCCTATTATCAATTATACAGCTGAAATTTCAGCTATCTATATAACTTTTTTGTTAATTTATCTGTTGGTTGTAAACTCAGATATAGAAAAGAGTGTCATTTACTGTGCTCATAAAACCCAAACAATCGATACAAAATACTAACAGCTATTACTATCATCATCATCATCACCATCTTCTGTATCCTCCTACTTGATCTTTACCATCTTATATCTTTTTTGACATCTCCATTTGGATAGCTAATATGCATTTCAACCCAACATATCCCAAATCAAACTTCTGATTTCCTCTTTCACCTCCCACACCTATTCCTCCCATACACCTCCTCATCTCAGAAACAACAACCCCTTCTTTCTGGTTGCTCAAGCCAAAAAGACGGGCATCCTCCTTGATTCCCCTCTTTCTCTTACACTCTCCACCCCATCTGTCAGCAGAATGGCACTGGCTCCATTTCACAACATTTTCACAGTCTACTCCATTCTTACTGCCTCTGCTGCTATTCCCTTTTTCCAACCCACCCTCACTTCCTGACAGGATTACTTTCAAAACCTCCCAATGAGTCTCTGTTTCTGCTCTTGCCCTCCTATGTAAAGTGTAGGTCAGATTCTGTCTCCCTCTGCTCAAAACCCTCTAATATATGGTCATCCTACTCAGGATAGAAGCCAAAATCTTCACAATGGCCTACACATGCAGGGGTGGGAAGTGCAGTATTCACTCCACTTAACACTCTGGCCTTATCACCTACTCCTTTCCCTCCTCTCTCATGGCCTCTGCACCTGCTGTGTCCACCACCTGGAACACCTGGCCCCCAGTTATCTTTAGTCTTTATCCAAATAGCATCTGCTTAGTAAGGCCTTCCCTGGTGACCTTATTTGAAATAGCAAACTCCCCTACACCCACCTTGCTCCCTCAATTCCTTGACTCTGTGTTATTTTTCTCCTCAGAACTAATCACCATCTGACATTTACTTTTTTCTCTTTGTTCACTGTCTGCCTCCACTCACTATCACTAAGAGCTCCTTGAGGGCAAAATGTTTCCGCAGAAAAAGAACAGTATGTACCTGATGCACAGTCAGTATTCAAATATTTGCTGAATGAATGAACGACGTAGAAGTATATGATAAAAACAAATGCATTTCTTCCTTGTTAGCTGGCTTCTAGAAGGCATAATAAATAATACATGCCATGAATAAATAAACCCCAAAATTGTAAAGTTATGATTTCTCCATCTAAGGTAAACTAGTCGGGTTAGTTGCTCAAGTGGAGCAGAGAAAGATGTTTTTGTGAAAATTTTCACTGCAAAGCCCAGATGCCATGTGGCTGTCTAACATGCATACAAAGTAAAGTACAAAGTTGTGCAGCTTACAGGTGACATAATTAGGTCACTGGGGGCAAGAATGCTTAGAAATGATGAAGAAATCTGTAAGACTCCTCAAATGAGTCTTTGTGTAGCTGCAGCAGATGTGCTTTCTTAGTTCCCAAGCATCAAATGCCAACTTCAGCCTTTCTGCAGCCTCCTTCCTCTAGATAATTTCACTTCAGGGCTGCCATTTTACTTGTCATCTTCACATATCCCTCTTTAAAATTATGTGTGATGTTTCAAACACACCTACCAAATTGCCCTTTCACTTTGTGTTGAAGAACTGTGCGCAAATTACAGTGTATTTTCTCATTATATGCAATATTATTACAAAGAAACCTACCCCAGCTAGATCTGTGGATTTCAGTTTTTCAATCTCATGAAGTATTCTAAAATGAGAAACTACAGAGAAGAAAGAAGAAGGTATAATACCCAATCTCCCGCTTCGGGCCCCTTATGTTTTCTGGTGGGTGATGTAAGAATTGAATATTGGTTCTGTTTTGGAGGAACTCCCCATCACAAGGAGATGGGGTTTTTGCTGGATTCTCTTGCCTCAGGAATAATCCTCAATTCCGCCTGTCACCAGGATTGTTTGCCAAACCACAGCTTTACTCCAAATGCTGAGAAGAGAGTGGTGGCTCAAAATTAACAGGGGATAATAGCTGTTTGAAACCACAAGTAACATTTATGTCCCTACAAATGGTACTTATCAAACAGTTAAGTGAACTGCTGACTATGAAGAAGCCTGTGTGTAGGAAAGTCTGGCTTCTAGAACTTCCTCTAAGGGTCACTAAACTGTATCATTGGTTATATTACTTTACTCTGAAATCTTTTTGTAGAAAAATGCTATTAGTAGAAGTCAGAAATCATAAAATAACCATTCATTCAATATATGTTTATTAAGCACCTACTACATTCCAGGAACTCTTATAGGTAGTAGAAATCCAGAGAGAACTAAACATAAAAATCGTTGTTCTCATGGAAGTTACATTTCAATAGTCTTTCAACAGAAAATTTATTTACAATAGTAAGATTTATTACTAATTTGGAACCCACTTTGTATAGCGAGAAAACACTCAGATTGGAGTCCAGGGGTCAGGGTTCAAGTCCTGACTATGCTACCAGGGTTCAAGTCTTGACTATGCTTGCTCCCAGATCTTTAGTTTTGTGTATTCTCCTAGGATTTGAATGAATGAAATAAAGTACCCAGGAAATTACCTGTCATGTGGAAAATGATTGATAACTCTGAGAACAGTGATGATAATCGGTATAGTTCTCTAACACAGGAATTGACAAATTATGGCCCACAGGCCAAATCCAACTGGCCATTTGTTTGAGTAAATAAAGTGTGACTGGGACACAAGCACACCCATTCATTTATGTATCATCTGCGGCTGCTTTCGCACTACAGTGGCAGAGTTGAATAATTGCAACAGAGGCTGTATGGCCCTCAAAGCCTAACAATTTTACTATGTGACCCCTTGAAGAAATAAAATTTACCAACTCTGGCTCTAATCTCTTGCTATGCTAAATGATGTCCAAGAACAGGCATCATCAGCATCACCCAGCTGGCCTGTTGGAACTGCAGAATCTGAGGCCCCACTCCAGACCTGAATCAGAATCAACATTTTAACAAGATACCCAGGTGTGACACATATGATCTCTGGAAGCCCAAGAAACACTGCCACAAAGTGTGCCCATGAGGACGTAAGTGATCTTGCTCTACTACATCAATATGGTCAATTTCAACCCTCCCCTTCCTTCCACTCCAGCCAATAGCTAAGTTCAGAATAATGATTGTTTTCCAACTTAGTAAACATCAGAATCACATATGGGGCTTTCTAAAAATATAAACTCCTGGCACCCGCCCCCCACTCCAGTGATTCTGATTCAATGAATCAGAGGTGGGGGTCAAAGATTCCACATTTTTAAAACAAATACCCAAAGGAAATTCAAACACAAGTGACCCTAGGATATCACTTTAGAAATATTATTTTTAAAAAGTACACTTATATATACTCTAGGATTGGGACAAAGGTTAAGAAATATTCTGCATGTTCATCATTATCAATGTTTTTCTTTTGGATATATAAAATATCAATGGGAGATTTGTCAGCAATAGTTTATATTAATGACTTTTTTGTTTTGGTTTGTGTTTTTTTTAGTTCAGGATCTGTTTTTTATTATTTAATTCTTTTTTAATTGAAAAATTCAACTATATCTATGGTATACAACATTATGTTTTGAAAAATGTATACATCGTGGAATCTCTAAATCAAGCTAATTAACATATGCATTGCCTCACATACTTATCATTTTGTGATGAGAACACTTAAAATCTACTCTCAGCAATTTTCAAGTATACAATATATTATTAATAACTATAGTCACTGTATGACTATAGTTAATATAGTCACAACTATGTTGTATTAGGTTGGTGCAAAAGTATTGCAGTTTTTACCATAGAAAGTAACAGCAAAAAACCCAATAACTTTTGCACCAACCTAATAAAATAGCTCTATTGAACTCATTCTTCCTGTCTAACTGAAATTTTGTACAGTAATGATTCATGGTGCCTCCATGGCTAGATGTTAATTAAGTGCGCTAACTGAGCTACCAAAAATACTTTACCACAATTATTATTTTTAATGTCAAGAATACATTTGTATGTTTTCATTTCCTTATTCAAGAAATTATTGAACACCAAATGTTTTTGAAGCATCATTCTAGACAGAGCAAGGATCTAAGAAATGAAAAATAACCCTTGTAGAATACAAAATTGAGTGGCCCAAGCAGCATTCTCTTTCATTTGACAAGTATTTCGTGAGAACCTGCTCAACAGCCAGGCACTGTTCTAGGTCAGGGGTCAGCAGACATTTTCTGTGAAGGGCCAGACAGTAAATATTTTAGGGTTTGCGGGCCATGTATAGTTTTTGTCACATATTATTCTCTCAGGTTTTTTACCCCTTTGTTAACCCTTTAAAAATGTAAAAATCATTCTTCATTCTCAGTTATGAAAAAGACATACCATAGGCCAGATTAAGCCTGTGGGTCATAGTTTGCCAATCCCTATTCAGGGTGACAGGGACACAGCAGGGAATAAAACAGACAAAAGTCCCTGCCTGCCAGGCGCAGTGGCTCATGCCTCTAATCCCAGCACTTTGGGAGGCCAAGGCAGGTAGATCGCTTGAGCCCAGGAGTTTGAGACCAGCCTGGGCAACATGGTGAAACCCCGTCTCCACAAAAAAAGACAAAAATTAGCCAGGTATGGTGAGGCGCACCTGTAGTCCCAGCTACCCAGGAGGCTGAGGTGGGAGAATCACTTGAGCCTAGGAGGTGGAGGCTTCAATGAGCCATGATTATGCCACTGCACTCCAGCCTGGGAGACAGAGCGAGACCTTGTCTCAAAGAAAAACAACAACAACAAAAATTCCCTGCCTATGTGGAGATTATATTCTAGCAGAGGGACACATATAATAAGAAAATAAATGCTGTAAAATGGGGAGCAATTGTGTCCTACAAAGGAAAATAGTAAGGGCATAAAAAATGATAGGAGAGAACTTTTAACAGAGGGTAGCCAAAGAAGGTGACATTTAAGCAAAGACCTGAATGAAGTGAGTAAACGAGCACTCTGGTTTCAGATACAGCAAGACTTTCTCAAGTTACATTATTATATGGGGAATAGTGTTAACACCATTTGAGCACATTAGAAATAATGTCCAAAACAACAACAATGAACAAACAAAAGTAATTCACAATAAAATGGCCTGCAGTCCCCCAAATATTGTAGTCAAGGCAGGTATGACCCTCTGACTACATGATGTAAATGAGAAAGATTCCAACAGGTACTGGAAAAGTCAGCATCTTCTCAAACTTCACTAACACCCGGATGCAATTCACAACCTTTTCACACTGAGAAACGTAAACCTGTCTCTTAAAAAATCATTCAAATTCCTCTTTTCCCTGACATATGGCCTGGAGCTCTGCTTTCCAACCTCTTCTTAATCCATTAGAGGAGTTAACTTTGAGATGAGTTGATCCTTCACTACAGAAGTTTGTTGCAAAGGAGGTGCTGGGTCTCTGAGGATACAGCTAAAGGGGAAAGCGTAACAAGAGCAACTTGATAAACTGGCTAGAAATTTCCGAGGTAGGACAGAGCAGTTGCTGGAGTAGGAACAGAGGCACTGGGCTAGGAGGAAAATGGGAGAGACCCTTGCTGGGTCTATCATGGAAATGAAGCACTAGCCACAGACAGATTTAATACACAGGCAGAAAGCTTTAGAGAGAAATGTGGCTGTCTTACGCCCTCCTCTTAACCTCCCTTGGGTTCCAGGGAGAAGCTGTCTATGCCACTGTCTTCTCTCCAAAGAGATGCCTTTGTTCCCTCAGGCTAAAGTCACCAGAAAAGATGGAGATGGTGAGACTCAAGGACCCCATGGCAAATGGGGCTATGTCAGTGAGCATTCCCTGGACAGAAATCAAGGTGTTGGCACTTTTGGTTGGTTGGTTGAATGATTGAATGACTGATTGATTTATGACAAGGTCTCACATTGCTGCTCAGGCTTTAGTGCAGTGGTGCAAACACAGCTCACTGCAGCCCCGACCTCCTGGGTTTAAGTGATCCCCCCACCTCAGCCCCTCCATATAACTGGGACCACAGGCATGTGCCACCATGCCCAACTAATTTTTGTATTTGTATCTCAACATGGTGAGATACATTTCACCATGTTGCCCAGGCTAGTCTCGAACTTCTGAGCTCAAGCAATCTACCCACCTCAGCCTCCCAAATTGCTGGGACTGCAGGTGTGAGCCACAATGCCCAGCCCACTTACTAGTTTTAGAAAAATCATTTTTAAGTAGTCTCCCTGAGAAATACTTAAGAAATACAAACACGTGCCTTTAGAAGGTAAATAAAAACTCTTATGTTGTTTCCTTCAATACCCAAAGACAGAAGCTGGCTGATGACATTCACATATATAGAATATAGCCATGGAGAAGGAATAAAGCCCTGGTCCCTCCCATATAGAAAAAGTACAGTTCCACAGCTGGTTTAGCAGTAAACTCTCTTCATGCATGGGGAACACTTAGTGATTTGTCCTTGGTAGCACCATGTCTGCCAAAGACCACACTGGGCTTACTGCGCTTGCCCATGGCTAGACTAACCAACCACTCTTGCTTCAGCTACTATTATTTTCTGTAATACTGAACTAAATGGAGTTTCTTTCTAACCCTGGACTTACCCTATCTCACATTCTGTACCTCTGCTACCAATACGATAGCACTATAATCTGTGCAAAAATCTAACATCATTAAAAGGCTTCCATCTTTCCTCTACAAGGCTAAATAGAAGGTGATATTAAAGAATAAAATCCATGTAATCCCAGCACTTTGGGAGGCCGAGGCGGGCGGATCACGAGGTCAGGAGATCGAGACCATCCCGGCTAAAACGGTGAAACCCCGTCTCTACTAAAAATACAAAAAATTAGCCGGGCGTAGTGGCGCGCGCCTGTAGTCCCAGCTACTTGGGAGGCTGAGGCAGGAGAATGGCGTGAACCCGGGAGGCGGAGCTTGCAGTGAGCCGAGATCCCGCCACTGCACTCCAGCCTGGGCGACAGAGCGAGACTCCGTCTCAAAAAAAAAAAAAATAAAAAAAAATAAAATCCACACACATTCTCCACAAAACTTTTAATTTGCATTAAGTCCCTGTGGTTTCACAATTGGCTGGCACTGTTCTTACCTTCTTTCCTGACAGGACAAGGCCACCTGACCCACAACTAAATCACAATGCGTGACTATCACCCTACACAATTCATACACTGTCACCTCCAGTTGATTTACTAGAGGGGTTTAAGAGGAACTTTTTTTCTGATTTTTTTTTAATTATACTTTAAGTTCTGGGATGCATGTGCGATCTGTTACATAGGTTTACACGTGCCATGGTGGTTTGCTGCACCCATGAACCCATCATCTATATTAGATATTTCTCCAATACTATCCCTCCCCTACCCCCCAACCCCCTGACAGGCCCTTGTGTGTGATGTTCCCCTCCCTGTGTCCGTGTGTTCTCATTGTTCAACTCCCACTTATGAGTGAGAACATGCAGTGTTTGGTTATTCGTCCTTGTGATATTTTGCTGAGAATGATGGTTTCCAGCTTCATCCATATCCCTGCAAAGGACATGAACTCATCCATTTTTATGGCTGCATAGTATTCCATGGTGTATATGTGCCATATTTTCTTAATCCAGTCTATCATTGATGAGTATTTGGGTTGGTTCCAAGTCTTTGCTATTGTGAATAGTGCCACAAGAAACATACGTGTGCATGTGTCCTTATAGTAGAATGATTTATAATCCTTTGGGTATATACACAGTAATGGGACTGCTGGGTCAAATGGTATTTCTGGTTCTAGATCCTTGAGGAATTGCCACACTGTCTTCCACAGTAGTTGAACTAATTTACACTCCCACCAACAGTGTAAAAGCCTTCCTATTTCTCCACATCCCCTCCAGCATCTGTTGTTTCCTGACTTTTTAATGATCACCATTCTAACTGGTAGGAGATGGTACCTCACTGCGGTTTTGATTTGCATTTCTCTAATGGCCAGTAATGATGAGCTTTTTTTCATATGTTTGCTGGCCACATCAATGTCTTCTTTTGAGAACTGTCTGTACATATCCTTCACCCACTCTTTGATGGAGTTGTTTTATTCTTGTAAATTTGTTTAAGCTCTTTGTGGATTCTGGATATTAGCCCTTTGTCAGGTGGATGGATTGCAAAAATTTTCTCCCATTCTGTAGGTTGCCTATTCACTCTGATGATAGTTTCCTTTCCTGTGCAGAAGCTTTTTAGTTTATTTAGATCCGATTTGTCAATTTTGGCTTTTGTTGCCATTGCTTTTGGTGTTTTAGCCATGAATTCTTTGTCCATGCCTATGTCCTGAGTAGTATTGCCTAGGTTTTCTTCTAGGGTTTTTACGGTTTTAGGTCTTATGTTTAAGTCTTTAATCCATCTTGAGTTAATTTTTGTGTAAAGTGTAAGGAAGGGGTCCAGTTTCAGTTTTCTCCATATGGCTAGCCAGTTCTCCCAACACCATTTATTAAATAGGGAATCCTTTCCCCACTGCTTATTTTTGTCAAGTTTGTCAAAGATCAGAGGGTTTGGCGTTATTTCTGAGGCCTCTGTTCTGTTTCATTGGTCTATGTATCTGCTTTGGTACCATTACCATGCTGTTTTGGTTACTGTAGCCTTGGAGTGTAGTTTGAAGTCAGGTAGCATGATGCCTCCAGCTTCGTTCTTTTCACTTAGGATTGTCTTGGCTATATGGGCTCTTTTTCAGTTCCATATAAAATTTCAAGTACTTTTTTCTAATTCTGTGAAGAAAGTCAATGGTGGTTTGTTGGGGATAGCGTTGAATCTATAATTACTTTGGGCAGTATGGCCATTTTCACAATATTGATTCTTCCTATCCATGAGCATGGAATGTTTTCCCATTTGTGTCCTCACTTATTTCCTTGAGCAGTGGTTTGTAGTTCCCCATGAGGACGTCCTTCACATCCCTTGTAAGTTATATTCCTAGGTATTTTATTCCCTTTGAGGCAATTGTGAATGGGAGTTCACTCATGATTTGGCTCTCTGTCTATTATTGGTGTATAGTAATGCCTGTGATTTTTGCACATTGATTTTGTATCCTCAGACTTTACTGAATTATCAGCTTAAGGAGATTTTAGGCTGAGACAATGGGGTTTTCTAAATAGACAATCATGTCATCTGCAAAGACAATCTGACTTCCTTTCTCCCTATTTGAATACCCTTTATTTCTTTCTCTTGCCTGATTGCCCCAGCCAGAACTTCCTATATTATGTTGAATAGGAGTGGTGAGAGAGGGCATCCCTGTCTTGTGCGAGTTTTCAAGGGGAATGCTTCCACGTTTTGCCATTCAGCATGATATTGGCTGTGGGTCTGTCATAAATAGCTCTTATTATTTTGAGATACGGTCCACCAATACCTAGTTTACTGAGAGTTTTTAGCACGAAGTGCTGTTGAATTTTATCAAAGGCCTTTTCTGCATCTATTGAGATAATCATGTGGTTTTTGTCATTGGTTCTGTTTAAGTGATGGATTACAGTTATTTATTTTCATATGTTGAATCAGCCTTGCATCCCAGGGATGAAGCCAACTTGATTGTGGTGAATTAGCTTTTTGATGTGCTGCTGGATTTGGTTTGCCAGTATTTTATTGAGGATTTTCGCATCGGTGTCCATCAGGGATAATGGCCTGAAATTTTCTTTTTTTGTTGTGTCTCTGCCAGGTTTTGGTATCAGGATGACACTGGCCTCATGAAATGAGTTAGGGAGGAGTCCCTCTTTTTCTATTTTTTGGAATAGTTTCAGAAGGAATGGTATCAGCTCCTCTTTGTACCTCTGGTAGAATTTGGCAGTGAATCCATCTGGTCCTGAGCTTTTTTTGGTTGGTAGGCTATTAATTCCTGCCTCAATTTCAGAACTTGTTATTGGTCTATTCAGGGATTCGACTTCTTCCTGTTTTAGTCTTGGGAGGGTGTATGTGTCCAGGAATTTATCCATTTCTTCTAGATTTTCTAGTTTATTTGCATAGAGGTGTTTATAGTATTCTCTGATGGTAGTTTATATTTCTGTGGGATCAGTGGTGATATCCCCTTTATCACTTTTTATTGTGTCTATTTGATTCTTCCCTCTTTTCTTCTTTATTAGTCTGGCTAGTAGTCTATCTATTTTGTTAATCTTTAAAAAAAAAACAGCTCCTGGATTCACTACTTTTTTGAAGGGTTTTTCATGTCTCTATCTCCTTCAGTTCTGCTCTGATCTTAGTTATTTCTTGCCTTCTGCTAGCTTTTGAATGTGTTTGCTCTCGCTTCTCTAGTTCTTTTAATTGTGATGTTAGGTGTCGATTTTAGATCTTTCCTACCTTCCCCTGTGGGCACTTAGTGGTATAAATTTCCCTCTGAACATCGCTTTAGCTGTGTCCCAGAGATTCTGGAATGTTGTGTCTTTGTTCCCATCGGTTTCAAAGAACTTGTTTATTTCTGCCTTAATTTTGTTATTTACCCAGGAGTGATTCAGGAGCAGGCTGTTCAGTTTCCATGCATTTGCGTGGTTTTGAGTGAGTTTCTTAATCCTGAGTTCTAATTTGATTGCACTGTGGTCTGAGAGAATGTTTGTTATGATTTCCATTCTTTTGCATTTACTGAGGAGTGTTTCACTTCCAATTGTGTGATCAATTTTAGAATAAGTGCAATGTGGTGCTGAGAAGAATGTGTATTCTGCTGATTTGGGGAGGAGCGTTCTGTAGAGATCTACTAGGTCCGCTTGGTCCAGAGCTGAGTTCAAGTTCTGAATATCCTTGTTAATGTTGTCTCGTTAATCTAAATTGACAGTGGGGTGTTAAAGTCTCCCGCTGTTATTGTGTGGGAGTCTAAGTCTCTTTGTAGGTCTCTAAGAACTGCTTTATGGATCTGGGTGTTCCTGCAGTGGGTTCATATATATTTAGGATAATTAGCTTTTCTTGTTGCATTGATCCCTTTACCATTATGTAATGCCCTTGTGTTTTTTTTAATCTTTGTTGGTTTAAAGTCTGTTTTATCAGAGACTAGTATTGCAACCCCTACTTTTTTTTTGCTTTCCATTTACTTGGTAAGTATTCTTCCATTCCTTTATTTTGAGCCTATTTTGAGCCTTTGAACCTTTGCACATGAGATGGGTCTCCTGAATACAGCACAACAATGGGTCTTGACTCTTTATCCAATTTGCCAGTCTTTGTCTTTTAATTGGGGCCTTTAGCCCATTTACATTTAAGGTTAATATTGTTATGTGTGAATTTGATGCTGTCATTATGATGCTAGCTGGTTATTTTGCCCATTAGTTGATGCAGTTTCTTCATAGTGTCAATGGTCTTTACAATTTGGCATGTTTATGCAGCGGCTGGTACCAGTTTTTCCTTTCCATGTTTAGTGCTTCCTTCAGGAGCTCTTATAAGGCTGGCCTGGTGGTGATAAAATCTCTCAGCATTTGCTTGTCTGTAAAGGATTTCATTTCTCCTTCACTTATGAAGCTTAGTTTGGCTGGATGTGAAATTCTGGGTTGAAAATTCTTTTAAGGATGTTGAATATTGGCCCCCACTCTCTTCTGGATTGTAGGGTTTCTGCTGAGAGATCCGCTGTTAGTCTGATGGTCTTCCCTTTGTGGGTAACCCGACCTTTCTCTCTGGATGCTCTTAACATTTTTTCCTTCATTTCAACCTTGGTCAATCTGGCAATTACGTGTCTTGGGGTTGGTCGTCTTGAGGAGTATCTTTGTGGTGTTCTCTGTATTTCCTGAATTTGAATGTGGCCTGTCTTGCTAGGTTGGGGAAGTTCTCCTGGATAATATTCTGAAGAGTGTTTTCCAGCTTGGTTCCATTCACCCTGTCACTTTCAGGTACACCAATCAAACGTAGATTTGTTCTTCTCACATAGTCCCAGATTTCTTGGAGGCTTTGTTCGTTCCTTTTCACTCTTTTTCCTCTAATCTTGTCTTCATGCTCTATTTCATTAAGTTGATCTTCAATCTCTGATATCCTTTCTTCTGCTTGATTGATTCAGCTATTGATACTTGTGTACGCTTCAGGAAGTTCTTGTGCTGTGTTTTTCAGCTCCATCAGGTCATTTATGTTCTTCTCCAAACTGGTTATTCTAGTTAGCAATTCATCTAACCTTTTTTCAAGGTTCTTAGTCTTCCTTGCATTGTGTTAGAACATGCTCCTTTAGCTCGGAGGAGTCTGTTATTGCCCATCTTTTGAGGCCTACTTCTGTCAACTCGTCAAACTCATTCTCCATCCAGTTTTGTTCCGTTGCTGGCAAGGAGTTGTGATCCTTTGAAAGAGAAGAGGCATTCTGGTTTTTGGAATTTTCAGCCTTTTTGCACTGGTTTTTTCCTCATCTTCGTGGATTTATCTACCATTGGTCTTTGATGTTCATGACCTTTGGATGGGCTTTCTGTGTGGATGTCCTTTTTGTTGATGTTGATGCTATTGCTTTGTTTGCTAGTTTTCCTTCTAACAGTCAGGCCCCTCTGCTGCAGGTCTGCTGGAATTTGCTGGAGGTCCGCTCCAGACCCTGTTTGCCTGGGTATCACCAGTGGAGGCTGCAGAACAGCAAAGATTGCTGCCTGTTCCTTCCTCTGGAAGCTTCATCCCAGAGGGGCACTCACCAGATGCCAGCCGCTCTCCTGCATGAGATGTCTGTCGACCCCTGCTGGGAGGTGTCTCCCAGTCAGGAGGCATGGGGGTCAGGGACCCAGTTGAGGAGGCAGTCTGTTCCTTAGCAAAGCTCAAGCACTGTGCTGGTAGATCTGCTGCTCTCTTCAGAGCCAGCAGGCAGGAAAGTTTAAATCTGCTGAAGCTGTGCCCACAGCTGTCCCTTCCCCGAGGTGATCTGTCCCAGGAAGATGGAAGTTTTATCTATAAGCCCCTGACTTGGTCTGCTGCCTTTCTTTCAGAGATGCCCTGCCCAGAGAGGAGGAATCTAGAGAGGAAGTCTGCTTACAGTGGCTTTTCTGAGCTGCAGTGGGCTCCGCCCAGTTTGAACATCCAGGCCACTTTGTTTACACTGTTAGGGGAAAACCACCTACTCAAGCCTCAGTAATGACGGATGCCCCTCCTGCCACCAGGCTTGAGCATCCCAGGTCAACTTCAGACTGCTGTGCTGGCAGCAAGAATTTCAAGCCAGTGGATTTTAGCTTGCTGGGCTCTGTCGGGGTGGGATCCACTGAACTAGACCACTTAGCCCCCTTTCCAGGGTAGTGAATGGTTCTCTCTCACTGATGTTCCAGGTGCCACTGGAGTATGGAAAAAACCTCCTGCAGTTAGCTCGGTGTCTACCCAAAGGGCTGCCCAGTTTGTGCTTGAAACCCAGGGCCCTGGTGGCATAGGCACCCGAGGGAATCTCCTGGTCTGCAGGTTGAGAAGACCATGGGAAAAGCACAGTATCTGGGCCAGAGTGCACTGTCCAAGAGGAACTTTTTTTAAAGGCCACCAGTTACAAATTAGCAGATTTGAACACGGTAAGGTGTGAAACCACTTGGTCATAAAATCCATGGAAATTTCTCAGGTGTATAGCATGCTTTAGAAACATTTACCACCCTCGTGGACAATCCCTGCTTTGAACATGCCCTCCAAAGGTTAAGTGAAATAAATCCATGCAGAATTCATTCATTAAACATTTTCAAGTTTCTACTTTGCGTCAAGACCTAATGCTAAGAACAGCTCTCAAAAAGATAAATATTACTGCTGCTAACAGCTATCACTTTTGTAGCATTTACTATATCCACTTTACATACAATAATGCATTTAATCCTCATAAATGTATTAAAAGGTAGATGCTATTATTATCTTCATTTTATAGTTGAGGAGTTTCCACAGCTATTAAATAGCAGAACCAAGCTTGGAATACAGAGTCTGACTCCAGTGCCTGCAACATTAACTGTCACACTATACCACCTGGCAACACCTGTGAGAATCTATCTTCTCCATACTTAAGTAGAACACACACGAAATTAACCTGTCCAGCATTTCCTGATGTCCTACCTCATACATGGCTCTAAGGCTAGGCATGGGATGAGAGACAATGAATCAGAGAGTGTCTTCTCTGCTCTCAGATAGCTATGTATCAACGAATAAAAAATGATGGTCTTGCTTTCATTTTTTAGTTCTTTAGACACAAGATATAACTGGAGTTTCCTGTGACCTATATGCCTTTTTCCCCAGGAAGGAGGTATTCTTAAATCAATATAGTAAAAACTGTCAGCAGCCTTTTCAACCTACTTTACAGCCTTTCCAGGGTCCATGGTTGATCAACTCACCTTGGTGGCAATGATACCATGCACTTGGATTAAAGGTATAAATGGACAAGCATATTTAATATCATTACTTTCTTCCCAGTAGTCCCCATGCCCTTTTAACTTTCCCCACATCCAGTACCAGTGGCTCAGACAGTAATTTCTGTTGCCAACTCCAGAGAGCAATAGAAATCTGTCCTGCACCACTTCCTACCCCAAAATAAAGTCCCTAGCCCCTCTGCCATGTCCTCCAGCATGACCATCTTGGAGTGGGAACATGCACAGCTCCTGGTGCATGCAAAGTGACAGGCTGTCTCCTTTCCACCTCATCAGCTCACCCAACAGAAATAAACTTCATTCTTTGGAATACTTCACCAAGGAGAATGCTAACTTTAAAAAAAAAAATGTACCTAGCGAGAAAAATAAACACACTCCTCTGAAATTTCTCCCTAAAATAAATAGATTTCCTACACCTAGCATGAGCTATCCTTCTAGAATGGAATAAAAAAAATTCTTCCTGATAAAAATACAATGATAAATATAGAGTTTTCCATGATATATTTTTCTTTGTCTCTTCTAGCAGTAAGATCCTTGCCTAATAACACATATTTCCTTCTTCTCAGATCTCTTAAACTCTTTTTGTCCAGTAGATTGATGTAAAAGGTGGTAATTCATTGTGCCATATTTAAGATCGACACAAATTCTTCTATGCTTCTCTGATGAAGACATGAGGTTTATACCCCCTTCCTTTGAATCTGAATGGGCTCTGTGAAAGTTTTCATTAATAGAATATGGCAGACATGACACTGTGCCCATTTATCGCCCAGGCTTCATGAGATAACAGGTTCCAATTCCTGGCTCTGGAATGCTTGTTCTTGAATCTTGAGCCACTAACAAGAAGTACAGTCACCCTGCTGGAGAGACTCTGTGAGAGGCCCTAAGACTACACAGATCAGCAGAGGCACCCAGCTGAGCCCAGCATTCCAGCTGTCCTTGACAAGGTAGCAGAAATATGAGTAAAGCCATCTTGGACCCTTCGGACTAGCCCAGGTGTCAGCTGACTATCACCAAGCAACCCAGTCCCTGTGGAGAACCACCACCTAACCAGGTCTGCCAGAATTCCCAATCTATAATCATGACGTATAATACAACATTAAGTCATGAAGTTTTGGAGTGGTTGCTTACATAGCAATGAAACACTGAACACCAGCCCTTTCACAAAACCCCAGCCTTCATTCACATTGTATCTTACTCAGTTTCTTCTCTCACAAAGGATCCATTACTGAAAATTCATTCAACTTCAACAGCCCTCAACAGGTTCCTCTAATCACATGCCAGCCCCATTCTTCAGTCCTTCGAAGGATTTTTTTTCTTGCAGTTTTATTGAGGTATAATTGACAGTAAAACTGTATAAATTTGAGATGTACAACATGATGATTTGATAAAGGTACATATTGAGAAATGATTACCACAGTCAAGGTTTTTGGCTTGCCAGTTGCCATTTACCATTGAGTTGCAAAATTGCCTCTTTTCCCATGAAACAACCAGAATCTATACCCTCCTCTTCCTCAAATACTACCTGACGCACAAAGCGCTCTTAAACCTTCAAATAAATGCAACTCATTTATACTAAACACTCAGGGGTAGGTATCATACAACAGTAATATTGCCTAAGGTAGGGAATTGAGGACTCCAGGCATTGTTTCAGTTGCTCATTTCTTTTCATTCATTCAACAATAACTACCAAGCATCCACAATGTACACACCACTGTTCTCAGGACAAGGGACACAGCAGGTAAATAAAATATAGCCCCTATCCCCATGGAGTATATGTCTTAGTGAGGGACAAAACAGACAATAAGTAAAATAAAAACATGAAAATTTCAAATTACGGTATTTCTGGTTCCAGATCTTAGAGGAATCACAATACTGTCTTCCACAATGGTTGAACTAATTTACACTCCCACCAACAGTGTAAAAGCATTCCTGTATCTCTGCAACCTCACCGGCATCCGTTTCTTTACTTTTCAATAATTGCCATTCTGACTGGTGTGAGATATTATCTCACTGCAGTTTTTGATTTGCACTTCTCTAATGATCAGTGATGTCAAGCTTTTTTTCATGTTTGTTAGCTGCAAGAATGCTTTCTTTTGAGAAGTGTTCGTGTCCTTTGCCCATTTTTAACAGGGTTTTTTTTTTCTTGTATATTTATTTAAGTTCCTTGTAGATTCTGGGTATCAGACCTTTGACAGATGGACAGACTGCAAAAATTTTCTCTCACTCTGTAGGTTGCCTGTTCTCTCTGATGATAGTTTCTTTTTCTGTGCAGGAGCTTTTTAGTTTAAATAGATCCCATTTGTCAATTTTTGCTTTTGTAGCCATTGCTTTTGGTAATTTTGTCATGAAATCTTTGCCCATGCCTATGTACTGAATGGTACTGTGTAGACTGGGTATATGCTCAAGGGAATATAAATTATTCTATTACAAAGATATATGTACCCATATGTTCACTGCAGCACTATTCACAATAGCAAAAACATGGAATCAACCCCAATGTCCACCAATGATAGACTGGATAAAGAAAATGTGGTATATATACACCATGGAATACTATGCAACTATAAAAAGGAATGAGATCATGTCCTTTACAGGGACATGGATGGAGCTGGAAGCCATTATCCTCAGCAAACTGATGCAGGAACAGAAAACCAAACACATGTTCTCACTTATAAGTGGGAGCTAAACAATGAAATTACATGGACATAGGGAGGGGAACAACACACACTAGAACCTGTCGGGGGGTGCAGTGTAGGGAGGGAGAACATTAGGAAAAATAGCTAATGCATGCTGGACTTAATACCTAGGTGATGGGTTGATAGGTGCAGCAAACCACCGTGGCACACATTTACCTATGCCTGCACATGTACCCCAGAATTTAAAATAAAAATAATAAACATAAATTCAAATTATGCTACTATGAAGGACAGAGCATGGTGACCGTAGAAACTGGGTGAAAAGAGAGAGATATTTTAGCCAGGAAAGACCTCCCTAAGGAAAATAAAGTTTTTAAATACTTGCTAGGCAAATATTACCATCTCAAATCTATCAATATGCACACTCTCCCAGACATAGATTGCACAACTTGCCATTACCTGATAGCTAATAGGATTAGAAACTAGAATTTCAAAACTCATTGAAAGGTTATAGTAGGCGGGAAAGAATCAAAGGAAGACAAGACCAGAGGAGGAAACAAAATGGGAGAGAGATCAATGAGGCTGTATCCTGGGATGGTGGCACCAGCAATGTAGGGAAACGAACTGTGGAGACAATATTGAGATCAGATCTATAGGACAAGGGTGAGCAAAGGTTAGCTTGCCTCAGATGACCAGGAGGGCTCCTTAAAAGTACAGATTCCTGGACTCCCACCAAGAGACTCTGACTCTATCTGTCTGGGTGGGAGCCCAGGAATATGTGTTTTAACAGCTCCGCAGTGATTCTGATGCAAGTGGCCAAAGACCACACTTTAACAGTCCCTACCTGAAGTCTTAACAACTGATACGTGATGAAGATGAGAAGAAATGAAGAGTCCACACTGACTCTTGCATCTCAAGACTGACGGAGGCCAATACAGAAAGAAGGAGATCTGTAGGACCAAAGTTTGGAGAGAGAGGACTCTTTTGTGCCATGTAATGCTAGGAGGGACCATGCATCTAAAGGAGGAGTGGCTGACAGAATTAATGAGTTTGGAGGATAAACTGAGCCTGGGACTTTCTTCTCCCTCTCTGGGGCTTGCATTCCCAGAACATACTCGTATTTGGTCAGTTCTGAGCCAAGTGGGGCCTATTCCTGTGTGGAGGCCTGTGGCTGCCTAGCTCTGCCAGCAACTAGGTATAAAAGTCCACCAAATTCCAGAGAGAAGCATTAGCGAGGCTCCTTGGCTGCAAACCTAAAGGCAGCCTGTTTCAACAGTGCGTAAGGTGATATACTCACCTCCACCTGCCTGACTCCATGACTGTCTCAACCAACTCAGGGTATGGAGAACCCAGGGTAGGGGGTGTAATTTACCAGGCCTCCCAAAACCCCAATTAAAACTTTTGAGTTGAATTGGCCAAGTTTAGCTTCAGCATAAAAGTCAATACACACCCATGATCAATTTCTTTTCCAATTTACTAGCCTTAAATCCTTAGTCATTGAAATTCACTAACAAAGTTCCCAAACATTATTATGTCACCCTTATCTTAGCATTGTCACCTACTAAAAATAAAATAATACATAAATAAAGCAAACCAATGAGACTGAAATCCTGGGATCCTGTGAGCACTGGAAAAAGAAAAAAGAAAAGAAAAAGAAAATCTACCTCATCTACCTCATCTCATATTCAAGATCAGACTAGTTAATCCTTTTGGATTTAAAATCTTACATGTTTCCCAATAGTGTTCTGAAGTAATTCCTCCTTAATAAACTCTTCTCTCTTCTCAGGAAAACTGAGGGTTCTTAAACAAGAAATGCAAAGGTTCAATTATGATTCACTTGAATCATTTGCAAGAACAGAGTAATAAAGTACAAAGCAATGATTCCTGAATAAGTAAATTATACTTTATGATGTCAGATAGATATAAACTTAGAGTGTCACAATGTTTATATCTTTATTAGCTTTAATTACTATTATTATCTACTATAGAGTTAAGGAAAAAAAACTTTTTTTTCTCTGCTAGTATTCTAAAAATAAATCTTCAAGTGTTAATAGACATGAGTCAGTTGTGTTTTGAATATGGGAAAGTGTGACTCCGTAATATCTATCTTCCTTCCCTTACCTTCAAATCTATTTTAAGTAATATTTTAAATGCATGGTTTATCATTTTTGATTAATTTTCCCCGAAATGCCTACCTTTCCTCCTCTCTGCCTACTGGTAGAGACTTGTTCTTAAAACCCAGGCAAGTCCCATGTCTCTTTTGAAGAAGGTCTGGGAAGAAGGAGAGGATGGGTCTCTCCCTTCCCTGGGTCACTCTCTTTGCTAATTCCTATCCTACTTCTCATTTATACAATACAGTTAGCACCCTTCTACATTTTCCTCCAGTGTCTTACCATCTGTTTTCCATAATATGCCCCCTTTATTAATTATTCATTTCAATGTAATAAATATTTACTGATTGTCTGCTAGAGGCAAAGAAAGGCACAACAAGGTAGCTAAGGGCAGGTAAGAAGGCCCCAAGTTGGAGGCATTCTGGATCCTCCACTTACTATCTGTGTGACTTTTGGCTAGCTGTTCAACTGCTGTGTCTCAGTTGTTACTGTTATTATTATTGCTAAGCATATTCCTGGGCTCAGAGCATACAGAAATAAACAGGGCATGATGCCTGTCATATTTTCAAACTCATTCAGTGATTCAGCAAATATTTACTGAGCACCTATTATGTATGAAGCACAGGGAATATAATTAGGAAAATCCTCTTTCAATGAGAAACTAATAAATGAAAATATAATTATTTTCATTGGAAAAATAAATGAAAATATAATAGGATGTCATATAATTATGATTTATATCAAGAATTATAAAGCAGGAGTATGGGAGAGTGACTTGGTGGAAGAGGAGACACCTAAAGAGATGACATTTACATTTAAGCCAAGTTCTCAATGCAATGGAGGAATGACCATGAAAGAGGGCTCCAGGTGGAGGGAACACAGGCCTGAGACGAGAATGTTCTCTGACAGCAGGAAGGCTCGTGTGGCTGAAACAAGGTGAACAAGAAGAGAATGGCAGACGACATCAGGGATAGAGCCAGGACTCAGGCTGCACAGGGCCTTGGAGGTCATGAAAATGACTACAGACTTTATTCTAAGGACTATGGGAGCCACTAGAGGATTGCAAGCAGGGGAGGTGACATGATCAGCTATGTGGAAAATGTTCTAGATTCATATACATTTTCACTAATGGTCAAAAGGCCGTGTGTTCACAGCTGCTCTTGTGAGTTATCTGAGCTCCTTTCTGGGCAAGCACCAAGTCTTAGGAGTCTTGAAATGTCATACAGTTCCACAGAATAAAGAACAAATATATGGTTAAAGCCTTACCAATTGGATGAGTGGCCTTAGCCTCTCATTTGACTTGGTTTTGTTTTTGTTATTTTTTTTTTTTTAATCACCAAGCACCCTCTAATACATTCTTCTCTCTGGTTGTGTATTTTATTAGTTTTTTTAATTTGTTTGTTTCTTTACCTAACCAATTTGCAAAGACAGTTGAACAGTAATTCTACCTTCACAGAGGTGTGCTTTCCAACAACCTTACGCTTCTGGAAAACAGACTTGAAAAACAGAAAAGAAATATTTTACCGAGCTCTCCAAAAATCAATCACAACTTCCCAACACAAAGCCTCTATATTTCACTTGTACCTGTCTGGATACACAGCAGTTCACTCTTAGTTAACATATAATTCTAACACCCTTGGTTCCAAACCCATAGCAGAGTAAAAATCATAATAGGGGACAGTGGAACTCTTAGGGGCCAGAACAATGACAATGATAAGTAACAAATGACTGTATGAAAGCTAAGTAAGAAATAAAAAATGTAAGTCACAACAGAACTATGCTGGCTTATACAACTCAACTCAAAACTAAATGTTTCTAAACCAACACCAAAGAGTTCAATTATGTTCTGTATCTTCTAATTTACAAAAAAGAAAAAATACAATCTAGATTACTTCTATGCAAAGTGGTTAAAATCAGCAAAGTTTTGGTATATAGTAAGAACACCTTGATTTATTCTTGTACTTTATACATAATGGGAAGACAATTTGGTTTCAATAATGAAGCCAGATAAATTGCTAACATAGAACATATGTCAGGGAGTCAACTTTTCATTTAATTCCACAACAGTTATAAGAATGTACTTTCAAACATTCTGTATAATAGTAAAAATTTAGCAAACCCAAAATGCCCATCAAGAGAATAAGGGTTAAATGCACTACAGTACACACATACTATGGAAAAACAGCCGCTGCTGAAAAGAATGAAACTGATAAACATGTACTGACGTAGCGTTTGATCCCTAAGACAAACTGATAAGTAGGGGGGAAAAAAGTTGTAGAACAATATCTAGAGTAGACGTCATGTATCTTAAAAGACAGAGACACTTCTATATATGTATATACGTGTATATAAATTCACTGAAAATGACTGAGTAGATAAACAGACACAGGTAAATGCCAACCCAACATCCCTTCTCCCCATCTTCCCTGCAAGCAGAAACATGATTCATTCCAAAGTGGTCAAGTAACCCTGTTCTGACCACCGAATGCCGTCAGCTTTCACTGGGCGTGACTTCCACAAAGGTACCATTCTCCTGACAGAAAGAGCCAAGCTCACTGCCGTGTACCTGTTTTCCTTTGCCCTTTCCTGTCTTTCTTGCTGGAATGCAGACACGATATTTAAAACTAAAGAGCTGTGTTCCCACCACAACAAAACTCCCAAACTAAGATGGTGAGGCAGAAAAGAAGATTGAGTGTGGATCCTTAATATTTGTACCAGTTCTGGACTACCCGTCCAGAGCTGGTACAACTACCCTCACCCAGACTCCGTGGTGTAAGGAAAAAACATGCTGATTTGGTTAAACTACTCAGTTGATTCCATGCAGATGAACACAACCCTAACTGATTAACAATCCAAACAGGGTAGTGGTTACCCCTGAGGAGAAAACTAGGTAGGAGCATGGCGGGAGAGGAAGATTGAGAGGTCTAAGGCAACTTTATCTACTTTCCAAAATGTTTTAAAATAAGAATGCTTTATTATTTGTGTCATTTTTAAATTAATAAAGTAGGCATGCCATTCTGAAATTCCACGTCTAAATGGCACAAAAGTGTAAGATAGGCACCACAGTTGCTTATACAACATTACTCTCCAAAGATTATATTCCCAAACGCTTTACCTATTCCCTCTTAGAAAAGACTTCCAGAGTCTTTCAGTCTTCATCTTGGCCTGTATTTTTAACCCATTAGGCATCCTCTTGGGGTAACTTCAGCAGGCTCCATAGGTACAACAACCTTCACGTGATCTTTAAATTAGCTCCATAATAGTGATAATGAGGCAGGAACCTTGAGATAAAAAGCAGATATTACAGGTTCCACTTTCGCTTCTAGCACTAATGATTACATGGAAAGTCGCTCAACCCAAGTTATAGCTTCCACATTCATATGGAAGGAATAACAACAAGAATTATACCTCACTCCTACTCAGGGACATGCAGGTAGGAACCACAACACAGAAACAAAACCTACCGCTGGAGCAGCACTGTTGTATGGAGGGGAAGGATAAAGCTTTGGAAGAAAATGGGTACACCTGGAATCCAAGCTCCACCATCTGCTGGCTGGGTGACCTTGAGTTACACACAGAATGGGTCTGAGCCTCAACATAAACATGACAGGATAATAGAACAGACCTCCAGGATCAAGGATAAAGTCAAATGGGACAACACGCAGGGTAGAGGATTTGACCCAGTGCCTGTTAATAATACTAAAATAATAATTACTATTAAACTTGTCATGTTTAAAACACTTTTCTTGAATTAAATTTCCTGAGCATTCTTGTTATCCTTATATGTTCGAAATGTGGCAATCAGATTCCCTTTCAAAACAGCATTTAACGATTTCTCCCAATTTGTGCAAACTGCCAAACGTTGTCATGTAGGCTTTCTGAAAACATGCAGCTATCTGGGTGGCACAAATGTTAAATACTGCAGCATGTCTAAAGGACAATAGTTCCTCTTAATAAGGGACTATCATGGCCTGCTGATTTGCTAAGTACATTAAGCACACATGGAGCACTGCAAACATAGAAAAACAATGCCTGTACCCTAGAGGATGGAGATAATTTGAAAAGAAGATAAACAGGAAATAATGTTAGGTGTTAGGTAATGAGGACCAATGGATGGCAACTTTTGATCACCCAGAAAATGCTCTCAATTGCCATCAAAATGATTACAAATCATTGAAATTACAATCAGCTTTTTAAAACCATGAATACTTTACTAATTTATCATTATCTAAAGATACATGTATAAATACATTGTGAAATGTAAATACATATACATATATTAAAGTGTTATTAATTTTCCTTGAATGTTACAAGTCCTGAGATGAAGACCACTCTGACATAGCACTGGCCATCACAAACATAATTTGTTCCAAAGTGTTCAAGACTGTTCCGACCAATGAATGTAAGATTTCACTGGACATGGCTTTAGCACTCAATAGCTTTGGAAACTAACATCATTCAAAACAAAAAAAAAACAAAAAGAAAAAAAAACAAAGAAAAGAAGAGGTGGGAGAGAGCCATATTACCTGAAGAAATACAACATATTAAGCTCTGATTCTAGTTCAGAGAGGTTGTAATGCCTAGAGCAGGCCAATTGACCTCCATCTCATCCCATCATTCAGTAATTTAAATCTGATTTCTGGTTCTCCATCTGCTTGTCAAACATCAAGTCTCCAGGGAGAGTGGCCCTGCTTTTCCTCCCCTCTGTGGACTGTCAGATGCCACTCACTTCAGCAATCAGTATGGCAGTGTCGCCATCTTTCCAGGTGGAGCCAGGGAGCCAGCACTTAAGTCATCTGATTCATCGCTTCTCCACCTTTTGGCTAAGATCAAGTGAAGTCATGTGATTCACTCGTAAGAAAGAAGGCTCACTCATGAGCAAATGCATCGTGGAAATGCACGGCATCCTTTCTACATGCACCATCCCCTCAAGTCTCTCTGCTATGAAAAACATCAAGAACAGAATAGTATCCATCAGCTTACACAACTTCTCTTTTGTAGTTATTAATGCTGGAACGCAGATTAATAACACCGTTAACGCAGTGTACCTCCTATTTTAATGAATGTCTATGTAAAGCAAAATGTTACTTGCTTTTCCCAATTGATGGGAAAAGGAAGAGAAATCATCACTTTACTTACCAATTTTCCTTTTTGACCAATTGAAAATTTTTTTTCAACCGAATATAAAAATATTTGACAGGTTAGCATGTACTAGGTACTATTCCAAGTGACGTGTGTGTGTGTGTGTGTGTGTGTGTGTGTGTGTCTTTAAGGCGTATGCATTCACATAGATGCAAGTGGAATTCTACACATAAAAATGTAGGTACACTGTTGTCCCCTTTTAACTGAGGAAACTAGTGTTCAGAGAGGTTAAGTAACCTGTGTAACGTCACACAGCTAGTCTGTGCAGAACCAGCACTTGATCCCTGGCTATTTTGACCCTAGAGCCCAAACTCTTAACCACTGTGTTCTAAGGTGACAAAGAAACTTGAAATTTGAAATATAATCTAATTATTTTTTTCTTCATTCTGGAATATCTGAGTCAAAGTTCTCAAATTCACTTGCAGTTTCAAGGGGTCAATGTAAATGACAGAGACAGGCCTGAGGGTGACATAGAGAATGAAAAATGTCCCATCTGCAAGAGTTGGGGTGGGGAGCTGGGGGGCAGCCAGAAGCCAGCTGCAGAGGACTGCTACAAAAAAAAAAGAAATAATCTGTTATTATTTCAGTGTTGTGCCAATTTAGGATTATTATGTCAAATCTTGTGATTTTCACACAATGCAACCAATTCAAAAAACAGTTATTAAACATAATCTGAGCCAAACAAAACATATCTGTGGGCCTACATTACCTATCAGCCACCACTTTGAGAGCTTTGCTTCAACCCAGGCCTTGAACAAATTTTCTGTGGAAAAATTATGTATCACTGACAATAAATCATTGATAATATTCACATTTCATTGCAAATATCTGCTTGAGCAGCTCTGAAAAACTTGAATCCCTTCCTCCCCCTGAGACACTTAACCTGTTTCTTAATTCATGTCTCCTTGCTGCGAAGTTTTCCTTTGGTCAGGTAGAAAATGACCTTGCTAGTTCTGTTTATTGTTTAACAGAACTCAGTCTCAAAATCCCTGTCATAATCCATAATAAAATAGAGAGGGCAAAACTTAATCAGCTGTAAATGTACAGTAGTTAGCATTCACCACAAAATGCTAATAATATTTCGAGAATGCCATTTCTCTTCTGGCCTTTTGACCAAGTTGGTTAATGGACTGAGACTTGGGAAATAATGGAAATAATTTAGGCTGAGAACTTCTCAGCCATGCATCAACCTTGAACTGAATGCCACGCAGGGAAAGCAGCACTAAGGCTGTGGCCCGGGTTTGGCAAGCAGAGCTCACCAACCAGTATGGACACCCAGAATGCTAATAAAAGGAGGATCCAGTGTTTCAAACACAAATAATGAATATCCACCAATTGCACGCCTAGCAAGAGGTTTTCTTAGAATACCACAAAATTAAAATTGTATGGCTAATATTTAGGTAAGATCCTTGAATCCTGTGGTTTTAAAGAATCTTCTGCAAGATAGTTCAACTCTCAGTAACATGTACTCCATTGTACCTGAGATTTTAGGAAGTGGGACCTTTCCTGAACATCTTAGACTGGGGAGTTGGCCTTAGGACCTAAGGTCCCAACTTAGTGTTGGAGCTTTTTAACCTAAGATATTGTTAATTATAACTGTCAAATTACAATTTGACAGAGTCAATTTGTAATTGTTTATCGACTTCCTTTCCCCTTGAAATAGTTCCTGGTAACCTGCTGAAATGTTCCCATTATTGTGTCATTAGTGTATCAATTTCTCTGAAAACAAAGTAAACTGATGAGGCGAAAGCTTGTTCCACATGGCACCTACCTAATGAACAGAAGGGTTTATTCACTTAATTATTAGTTATGAATATCAAGTGCACTATTGTCACTCTTTAGGTTTTCACCTATAAAACATTAAAAATCTAGCATACAAATGAATGTATTTGCTAAGAAAACATTTAAAACCACAGCGGACTCTGAAATATCCACCCACCAAGCTACTGGGTAACTTGGATGATGCAGCTATAATAATCTTAGTTAGGTAGTGCTCCTTTTCCTCTCTCTCTCTGTTGAACTATCTAAGTAGGATGTTGGTAAATGGTCTTTTAAAAATAAAAACTTTGGATTAAAAGGAAAACTGAATCCCTTCTATATTTTTGTTACTAACAAATAATGCTTTTGTAAATTTGAATGGAAAACCTCTTATATGTATTGCTACTGGGTTGCAGTTATGTTTTTGAGCTTAATTTAAAATACACTACTCAAAAATTTCATGGAAGATGAATTCCAAGAATCAAAAAAAATGCATTTCAAAGCTAAAAATAAAAATTAAATGAAGATTTTAAAATACAAATAAACGATAGTTCAAGTCCACGTTACTTCTTTAACACGTAGGTCCCTAACCCAATAAGCTAAATCACATCATCATTGGGCTGTGACCCGAAAACTAAGTGAAGCAGAGAAATTATTTTCTAAAATACTTGCCTTTAAATTTCTTCCTTTCAAAGAAGAAATCTCACACACAGTTTCTGGGACTCTAAAGTGGAATGGTCACTGTGGTCAGCCATCTGTTAGCATTTTGTGATGTTAAATATGCACCCCCCCCCCGCCCCCACGACTCAGCAATCCTTCCCATCTGTACATCCCAGGAAAATTCCTGAACAGTTTCCTAAAGGGACACTTACATGGATGATCACCAAAGCATTTTTGTTGTTGCCATTGTTTCCATTTGTCTTTCTCTCGGGGGTAGTGGGGAGCTGAAGCAACCTAAGTGTCCATTGCTAAGGGAATCCAGAAGTTACCTGCGATGAGGGTTCACTGTGAAGTATTCTGCAGCAATTGGAATCTTAGTACATCCTTCACTACCAAAAACTAACTTGGAAAAACCTTCCCACTTGTATATGAAAAGCTGAGACGACAGGCTGCAGGAAAAATTACTTTAGGAAAGAAAAATGTCCTGTTTGATTCAATATTCTCTCATTCAGTTAGTTTTCGTTTTTTAATCTTCTTTTGCCAGGCATCTTATGAAACAAAACCAAGACACCTGCCCCTAACCTTTAGAAACTCTTGTCCAGGAAGGGAGACAGACACAAATTATTTTCTTCACATAATATTATAATAAAGACCACAAAAGATGCATGGACCCATGTAGTCAAAGCACCCAAGGTGCTGCCTGTGCCAGAGGACACAGAGAAAGGACGACATGGTTGAATTCACCCCAGAGCAGAGTGAGCCAACCCCCCCAGCCCAGCTCAACACCCTCAGGGAAAAATACCACAGCCTTGGAAGACTTCAAACATTCACTTACTTCTCACTCCACAAGCAGGGAGAAAAGGGAAGTAGAAGGCAGTGGAAAATCAAGCCTCCTGTGACCCGTCATTGGATTCTCACTGGCTGGAAATGCACACTGAGAAGACGAAGGTGGGTAATGGACATGTGATTTACTAGACATAGTGCTGGGGAGAGGGGATATTGCCACAAAACCTTCAATAACATATCCCCACATCATTCACGTGCAAGCTCCAGGTCCCCACACTGCCATATTATGCAACTTGTTCCACATCTGCCTCCTGCTGAGCATATTTTCCTCTTCTCCCTTTTTTTCAGCCACATAGGTAAGCTGGTGAACTTGAGGTTATGACAGGACAGCTTCCCAAGTGACCACCACACGCTTTCCCTGTGGGGAAATAGTTTTCTGATGATGCCACTAGATGTCTGGGCCACCACCGACACTTAACAAGTTAGGGGACTTGCTAAAGGCAGGTAGGCTAAGATTTCCTGCAAACGCTCACAGCAATTCTTCATTTTTTTATGCCATGGTGAAACCTATGAACTTCTTCTCCAAACACATATTGTAAGTGCATAAAACAAAATTCATAGGACTGAAAAGGAAACTGGTTACATTAAAACACTCCAAGTTAAGAATCTAAGCAATTTATAAATGCCACTTATAGGGTGATTGCGGGTAGACAGATGTGTTGCTGTTCGTGCCAACAAGCATTTAGCAGCATACCACATAATGGTTCTCACAAGGATGTCTCTTTTTAGCCTAATTAACCTGCTTATTAACATGTTCCTGAGCATTTCCAGTTTAGCACATAACATGGGATAGTCATCGACAGAGATTCCTCTTCTACCCCTTCAGGAAGGCCTGAACTACAAACGTATTTCCAATAGTGATGTGCACCACTCTACCACCCTTGCCACCTTCTGAGCTATCAACAGCATGATTGAGCAGGGTGAGGACCACTGTCAAGGGCCTGGGAGCAGAGTCAAGTCATTTAAACCCCCTTGGGCTGGTACCGTCTGAGATGTCTGGAAACTGACATCTATCTCAGTGCTACTAAAACCACCACTAGCCACAACTGCTAAGCAATTTGTTACATCATGGCCTCATTCAGCCTCCAAGCTTAAAAGAATTTTCACACACACACACACACACACACACAATCATTTTGCTGGAGGTTCCCCAGCTAAAATGAGTAAGAATACATTTTACTAGTAAGAATAAAGTTCAAGAGCCAGGCGCAGTGGCTCATGCCTGTAATCCCAGCACTGTGGGAGTCCAAGGCTGACCAATCGCTTGAGAGCAGGAGTTCAAAACCAGACTGGGGAACATAGGAAAACCCCATCTCTACAAAAAAAAAAAAAAAAAATTAGCCAGACATGGTGGTACGTGCCCATAGTCCCAGCTAGCTACACAACAGGCTCAGGTGGGAGGATCACTTGAGCCCGGGAAGGTGGGGGTTGCAGTGAGCTATGATCATACCACTGCACTCCAGCCTCCTAGGTGACAGAGTGAGACCCTGTCTCAAAAAAAAGATAGAAAAATAAGATAAAGCTCACAGTATATTTCCAGTAAGAAAGTAGTTGCATTCTTAAACACCGATTTCAAAAATGCATAAATGATACACCATTGATAGGAAGTCATAAGTCCTTTTAAGTCTATTTGTATTTTTTCCATCAAAATGCCATCAACACATGCTTGGAAAATGAGAAATGTATAGACAAGAGACACTTTATCCAATCCAGTCAATTATTCATCCCAAGATGGACATGAGGACTCTTAAGAATCTGCCCCATCCCTAATAGTCCAAAGTCTATAGGCTGTGAACTTAAAATTTCATCTAACAGCTGTAAAAACTGAGACCAAGAGAGTAAACAATTTGTTGTAGTAATTTTTCATAGTCTACACAACTATTGTGGAAGAAGTGCCAGTCTTCCAGCTTCTGGGTTGATATTCTTATTATTCAGAGCTGCACAGATGTGATCTGTTTAAAATATTCTTATCTGAAAAGCTCTATGGCTGAAATTATTACACCCTTTATTTTAATTCACTAATTCAAACTAATTAGTCTGGGAATACCAATCTGACTTATTAAAATGCCTAAGGCATTTTAAAATAAATCTATTACTTTCAAGTATTCTCAGCAACTTCACCTAAGTAACAAGAGAACAATGTATAATGAGCACTTTTTTACCTACTAAAAATGCATTACATGTTTTATATACAAAAATTAACTCAAAATGGATCACAGTCCTAAATATAAAGCCAAAAACTAAAAACTGTCTCAAAGAAAACAGAAAACAACCTGTGTGATCTCGGATTGGGACAAATATTTCTAAGACACCGAAAGTAAAATACATAAAAGAACAAACTAGTATATTGGACTTTATCAAAATAAAAACTTCTGCTCCTCAAAAAACATTGTTAAGAGAGTGAAAAGATAAGCCACATACTGGGAGAAAATATTTGCAGTTTGGTTATTTGATAAAGGAATTATATCAAGAATATAAAAAGATCTCTCAAAACTCAATACTGAGAAAACAAACAATGTGACTTTAAAAAGTGGCCAAATAATTTGAACACACTTCACCAAAGAAGATAGACAGGTGACAAGCAAATGAAAGATGTGCAACATTATTAGCCATTAGGTTCATGCAAATTAAATCTGCAATATGATATCACCACACACCTATTAAAAATGGCTAAAATTAAAGATACAGACAATACTTAGTGCTGGCAAGAATATGAAGGGACTGAAACTCTCATTCACTGCTGGTGAGCACGCATCGGTACATCACTTTAAAAATGTTTAACAGTTTCTTAAAAGTCAAACATACACCTACCATATGAACCAGCCATTCTTCTCCCAAGGTAGTTACCAAAGAAAAATGAAACCATATGTCTGTGTAACACTTGTACAAAATGTTCACAGCAGCTGTATTTATGATAGCCAAAGTTAGAAAAACTCCAAGTGTTTATCAACAAGTGAATGGATAAACAACGTGTGGCACATAATGGAATACTACTCAGCAATAAAAAGAAATGAGGTTGTGTGTCAACTTAAAATGTTTTAGTTAAAAAAAGAACCCATATATATGCAGCAACATGGAAGAATCATAGAACAATTATGCAGAAAGAAACCAGATGAAAAAGAAGATGATTCCACAAACAAAATTCTAGAAAATGCAAACTCATCTACAGTGACCAAAAAAAAATCTGTGGTTGCCTAGGGATGGTGGGAAGGAAAGAGGAGCTGATTACAAAAGAGTATAAGGAAACTTTTGGGGTGAAGGGTTTATTCATTACTTTTATTATTAAGATGGTTTCATGGGTGTAAATAGGTTAAAATTTAACAAAGTGTACACTTTCAAATTTGTGCAGTTTATTTTATGTCAGTTATACCTTAATAGAGCTGTTAAAAAACAAAAATAAAATATGTGCATTGACAATGGCAGAAGCAATCTGGCTTCATTCTACTCCACAAGAAACCAAAAACAAATATTCAGCACTCAGATTATCACCAGTAATATCCCACAATTTATTTTTTTTTTAATTTTTCTTTAAACACTGGCTTTCTCTATGTTGCCCAGTGATATGGTTTGGCTTTGACCCCACCCAAATCTCATCCTGAATTGTAGTTCCCATAATCCCCATGTGTCATGGGGAGGACCTGATGGAAGGCAATTGAATCATGGGGCCAGGTTTTTCCCTGTACTGTTTTCACAATAGTGAGTAAGTCTCACGAGATCTGATGGTTTTATAAAGGGCAGTTTCCTGGCACATCTCTTTTGCCTGCCACCATGTAAAACATGCCTTTTCTCCTCCTTTGCCTTCTGCCATGATTGTGAGGCCTCCCCAGTCATGTGGAACTGTGAGTCGATTAAACCTCTTTTTCTTTATAAATTACCCTGTCTTGGGTATTGCTTCATAGCAGTATGAAAATGGATGAATACACTCAGTCTGGAATGCAGTGGCTATACATAGACATAATCATAGTGTGCTGCTGCTTCAAACTCCAGTCCTCAAGTGATCCTCCTGCCTCAGCTTCCAAAGTAGCTAGAACTATAGGCACTTACCACACCAGCTAGAGCTCAAATTTGAGGCTGAGATGTTCCCTGAAACCACAGACAGGTGAAAAACTCCAGACAGATGGTAAGAGAAATGGACTTTTCTATCTGCAATGCACCTCCCTCAAATCTGCCAAGCACCATGTGCAAAAAAATTCACCCAGATTTATGATTTCTACACTGGAAAAAAGTGAGACTGAGGTGGACAGCCAGCTTCCAAACCATCTTGGGTTCTTGTTCAGGGAAACTATTCCTGCTTCAACCCACAGGAAACACAGCAAGTGCCGGTAGGGAGAAAATCCCCTGAGGGTGCTAGAAACAAATAGAGGATGTAAGACTAGTGACCTCAGCTCACAAAACTCAGCCCTTTATCTTAGCCAAAAAAGATGCCAAACTAGAGTGGTTGTTCAGCAGCACCACACTGTAGAAGGCACATTCCACAGTTCTTCTGGGCATGAACCCCTAGCTATACTTCTCACATGGCAGGATATTCCCATTGGGACCCACACTCCCATTTCAAGACTGGCAGAGCTCTGAACCTTAGTGAGATTAGAGGCAAATCTGGGCTTCAGGCACCATCTAGTGCCAAAAAGGAAGCAGCAATCTAGGATTAAGGGAACTCAACAGGCAACTGCAAAGAACCTCTAAGCAAACATACCCCAGAAAGACCAAAACAAGCCAGGGAGCAAAGACAGAAATAAATAATTAACTCTTCCATACAAAGCAATAGACATATATTCACGAGAAATAACAGCAAACAAGGAATCATGAACTCCCTAAGCAGACAAAACAAGCAGCCAGGGATGAACCCTAATGAGATGGTGATGTGTGAGCTCTCAGATCAAGGATTCAAAATAGCAGTTCTAAAAAAAAAAAAAAAAAAAAAAAAAAACTCTGCAAACTCACAAAAAAAAAAACTCAGAAATGTATCAGATGAACAACAACAACAACAAAAAACAAATCCTGGAACTGAGAAATTCATGTGTTGGACCACAAAATGCATTAGAAGTTCTCAATAGCAGAATGAATAAAACCAGAAAAAAGTCTGTGAGCTCAAAAGCAGGCTGTTTGAAAATATACAGTCAGAATAGAAAAAATAAAAAAAGAATGAAAAGGAACAAAGGACACCTACAGAATATGAGGAATTACCTCGAAAGAACAAATCTAAGAATCACTGGTGTCTAAGACGGAATTGAGAAAGAGCAAGGGGTAGCAGCAACCTTATTCTGAAAGATAATAACAGAAAAATTTCCAAACCTAGAGCAAGATATAAATATCCAGGTACAAGGATGTCAGAGATCACCAAATATAACCAACCCGAATAAGACTACCAAAAAAGCAGATAATAATCAAACTCTCAAAGGTCAAGGAAAAAGAGAGGATGCTAAAAGCAACATGAGGAAAGCAGCTAATAACATGTTGAGGAGCTCTGAATCGTCTGGCAACAGACTTCTCAATGGAAACCACAGAGGCCAGGAAAGATGGGACAACATATTCAAACTGCTAAAGAAAAAAACCATAAGCCAAGAATACTGCACCCAGAAAAGCTTTCTTTCAAACATGAAGGACAGATGAAGTCTTTCCCAGACAACAAGAGCTGGGGGAATTCAGCACTACTAGACTTGTCTTACAAGAAATGCTAAATGGAGTTCTTCAATCTGAAAGAAAAAAACAGTAATGTGCAAAAAGAAAACATTTGAAGGTAACAAACTAACTGCTAAAGTAAGTACACAGATAAATTCAAAATATCCTAATACTGTAATTACAGTGTGTAACCCACTCATGTCACTAATATGAAAACTAAAAGACAAATCTATCAAAAGTAACAATGACAACAGCAACTTATTAGGGATAGGCAATATTAAAAGATGAAAATTGAGACAACGAAAAGTCAAAATGTGGAAGGGATGAAGTTAAAGTGCAGGGTTTTTGTTTTTCATTTGTTTGTTTCTTTTCTTTGTAATCACTTATCGTTTATTTAAAATAACTTGTTATATCTATAAGAAGTTTTCTGTAAGCCTCATGGTAAACCCTGCGAGGCAAAAACCTATAATAGATACAATAACAATGAAAAGCAACAAATTAAAACATATTACCAGAGAAAAAAATCACATAGCCACAGAGGAAGAAGACAGTAACAAAGGAAGAAAGAGAGGAGTCACAAAACAACCAGAAAATAACAATATGACAGTGGTAAGTACTTCCATATCCAATAACAACCTTGAATGTAAATTGACTAAATTCTCCAACTAAAAGACATAGAGTGGCTGAGTAGATTTTTGAAAAACACAACCCAACTATAAGCTGCCTACAAGAAATTCACTTCACCTATAAAGACACACATAGACTGAAAGTGAAAGGAAGGAAAGCTATTCCATGCAAATGGAAATGAGAAAAGAGCAGGAGTAGCTAACCTTATACCAGTTATAGGCTTCAAGTCAAAGGTTGTAAAAGAGACAAAGAGGTTCACTATATAACGATAAAGGGGTGAATTCAGCAAGAGGATATAACAACTGTAAATATATATGCACCCAAATATATATATAATGTACAGATCATCCAGACAGAAAAATCAACAAAGAAACATCAGAGTTAAACTACACTCTAGACAAAATGGACCTGACATTTACAGAACATTTCATCCAGCTGCTGCAAAATACACCTTCTTCTCATCAGCATATGGAACATTCTCCAGGACAGGTCACATGTTGAGTGACAAAACAAGTCTCAACAAATTCAAAAAACTAAAAATGATATCAAGTATTTTTTTCTGACCACATTGGAATAAACGTAGAAATCAGTAATAAGAACTTTGGAAACTATACAAGCACATGGAAATTAAACAACATGTTCTTAAATGATCAATGGGAAAATGAAGCAAGAAGGAAATTTAAAAATTCATGAAAGGAATGAAAATGTAAACAAACATCCCAAAATCTATGGGATACAGAAAAAGCAGCATTAAAAGTGAAGATTATAGCAATAAATGCCTACTTCAAAAGAGTAGAACAAGTTCAAATAAACAATGATACATCTCAGTAAACTAGAAGACAACCAACCAAATCCAAAATTAGTAGAAGGAATGAAATAATACCAGAGCAGAAATAATGAAATTGAAACTTTAAAAAATACAAAAGATTAACAAAAAGTTGTTTTTTTGCAGAGATAAAAAAATTGAAAAACGTTTAGCTAGACTAAGAATAAAAAGAGGGAAGACCCAAATAAATATAATCAGAAAGAAAAAAAAGAACACATAACAACTGATACCACAGAAATTCAATGGATCATCAACAGCTATATGCCAACAAATTCGAAAAGCTAAAAGAAATGAATAAATTCCTGGACACATACAACCTGCCAAGATTAAACCAGGAAGAAATAGAAAACTCAAACAGATCAATAACAAATAATGAGATTAAGGCAGTCATAAAGCATCTCCCATCAAAGAAAAGCCCAGGACATGATGGCTTCACTGCTGAATTCCACCAAATATTTAAAGAACTACTTATAACACCAATTATACTCAAACTATTCAAAAAAATGAAGAAGAGGTAATATGTGCAAATTCACTCTACAAGGCCAGCATTGCCCTTACACCAAAACCAGATAAGGACACAATGAAAAGAAAACTACAAGCCAATATCCCTGATGAACACAGATGTAAACGTCCTCAACAAAACACTGGAAAACAAATTCAATGACACAATAAAAAGATCATTCACCATGATCAAATAATCAATGTCATCCCAGGGATGCAAAGATGGTTCAACATATGCAAATCAATAAACATGATACATCAGATTAACAGAATCAAGGACAAAAACCATACGATCATTTCCACAGATGTTTTAAAAGGATTCAACACAATTCAACATTCTTTTATGATAAAAACTCTCAACAAATTGGGTACAGAAGGAACACACCTCAAAACAAAAATGGCCATACGTAACAAACCCACAGCTAACATACTGCTTGGGGGGAAATTGAAAGACATTTCTCTAAGATCTGGAATAAGACAAGGATGCACAAATTTACCACTTTTTTTCAACATAACATTTGAAGTTCTAGCCACAGCAATTAGACAAGAGAAAGAAATAAAGGGCATCCAAATTGGAAAGGAAGAAGACAAATCATTCTTGTTCATAGATGACATGACATTACATTTAGAAAAGCCTAAAGATTCCAACAAAAAACACTGAGAACTGATAAGTGAATTCAGTAAAGTTGCAGGATACAAAATTAACATATAAAAATCCATAGCATTTATATGCAAAGAATCTGAAAAAGTAATCAAGGCACCAACATCATTTACAATAGACACAAGGAATATAAAATACCTAGAAATAAATTAAACCAGAGATGCAAAAAATCTCTACAAAGAAAACTATTAAACATTGATGAAAGTCAATGAAGAAGACACACAAAAAAAGAAACACGCCTATACTCATGGGTTAGAAGAATTAATATTGTTAAAATGTCAATACTACCCAAAGTGGTCTATAGATTCAATGCAATCTCTATCAAAAACCAGTAACATTCTTCACAAAACTTGAAAAAACAATGCAAAAATTCATGTGGAGCCATAAAAGACCCAAAATAACCAAAACAATCCGAACTGGACAAAAAGAACAAAGCTGGAGGCATCACACTACTTGACTTCAAAATATACTACAAAGCCATAGTAATTAAAACAGCATGGTACTAGCATAAAAACAGACACATAGAGCAGTGGAACAGAATACAGAACCCAGAAATAAATCCACACATTTACAGCCAACTCATTTTTTTAATTTTTATTTTACTTTAAAGTTCTGGGATACATGTGCAGAATGTGCAGGTTTGTTACATAGGTATACATGTGCCATGGTGGTTTGCTGCATCTATCAGCCAACCGTCTAGGTTTTAAGCCCGGCATGCATTGGGTATTTGTCCTAATACTCTCCCTCCCCTTGCTCCCCACCCGACAGGCCCTGATGTGTGATGTTTCCCTTCCTGTATCAATGTGTTCTCATTGTTCAACTCCCACTTATGAGTGAGAACATGCAGTGTTTGGTTTTCTGTTCCTGTGTTAGTTTGCTGAGAATGATGGTTTCCAGCTTCATCCATGTCCCTGCAAAGGACATGAACTCATTCTTTTTTATGGCTGCATAGTATTCCATGGTGTATACATGCCACATTTTCTTTATCCAGTCTATCACTGATGGGTATTTGGGTTGGTTCCAAAATCTCATGCCAGTTAGAATGGCGATCATTAAAAAGTCAGGAAACAACAGATGCGGTAGAGGATGTGGAGAAATGGGAATGCTTTTACACTGTTGGTGGGAGTGTAAATTAGTTCAACTATTGTGGAAGACAGTGTGGCAATTCCTCAAGGATCTAGAACCAGAAATACCATTTGACCCAGCAATCCCATTACTGAGTATATACCCAAATGATTATAAATCATTCTACTGTAAAGACACATGCACACGAATGTTTATTGCAGCACTATTTACAATACCAACTCATTTTTGACAAAGACACCAAGAACCTATATTGGGGAAAGGACAGTCTCTTCAAAAAATGGTGCTGGGAAAACTGAAAAACCATATGCAGAAGAACAAAGCTAGACCCCTATCGCTCACTATATACAAAAATCAAATCAAAATGGAGTAAAGACTTAAGTCTAACACCTGAAACTATGAAACTATTAGAAGCAAAAACTGGGGAAATGCTTCAAGACATTGGTCCGGGCAAAAATTTTTTTAGTAAGACTTTGAAAGCACAGGTCACAAAAGCAAAAATTTTCTGCATTGCAAAGGAAGCAATCGGCAAAGTGAAAAGATAACCTATGAAAAGGCCAAAAATATTTGCAAACTATCCATCCAACAATCAATTAATAAGCAGCATATATAAGGAACTCAAACAACTTAACAGCAAAAAATAAAAACCATCCAGTTTTAAAATGGGCAAAAGAGTTGAATAAACATTTCTCAAAAGAAGACATACAAATGACCAACAGGTATATGAAAAAATGCTCAGCATCACTAATCAACAGGGAAATGCAAGTCAAAACCACACTGAGATATCATCTCACCCCAGTCAAAATGGTTTTTATCAAAAAGACAAAAAATAACAGATGCTGGCAAGAATGTGGAGAAAGGAGAACACTCATACATCATTGGGGGAATGTAGATTAGTACAGCCACTGTGGAAAACAATACAGTGGTCCTTCAAAAACTAAAACTAAAAGGACCAAATGATCCAGCAATCCCATTGCTGGATATCTATCCAGAAGAAAGGAAACCAGAATATCAAGGAGATAACTATACTCCCATGTTTATTGCAGCCATATTTACAGCAGCCAAGATATGGGAACAACGTAAGTGTCCATCACTGGATGAATGGATAAAGCAAATGTGGTACATATATATATATAATGGAATATTATTCAGTCATAAAAAAGAATAAAATCCTGTCATTTGCAGCAATACGGATGTAACTGAAGGTCATTATGTTAACTGAAATAAGCCAGGCACAGAATAAATACTGCATGCTCTCATTCATATGTGAGAGCTTAGAAAAGTAGATTTCATACTGGTAGAAAGTTGATTGGTGGTTACCAGGGGCTAGGAAGGGTTGGGAGGAGGGAGAGATGAACAGAGGTTAATAGTTTAAAAAAATGCAGTTAGAGAGAAGAAATATGAGGTAGTGTTCAATAGTATGGTACGGTAACTATAGTTAACAATAATTTAGTTTTAGTTCAAAATAGCTAGAGAAGAGGAATCACAATATTCCCAACATAAAGAAAGGGTGAATGTTTGGGGTGATCGATGTTGCAACTGTCCTGGTTTGATCATTACACATTGTATATATGTATCAAAATATCACATGTACCCCAAAGATATGCACAACTATTATGTAGCAATAATAAATAAGAAAATGCATTAAATTCCAGACATAATACCAAGCTCTTTAGATAAATTGTCTCATTTCATGTCACAAAAATACTTTTAGGTAGGGGATGTTGTAATACTCACTTCCAGGAAGAAGAAACTGAGGCTCAGAGAGATTAAATAACTTTGCCCAGGGTCACATAGGTAGGACTTTGCAGAGAGAAGGCACAAGCATTTTGACTTCATGTTAAATAAATGCTTCCAAAGCACTTGACGATTTTTTAAGATAACGTGAACAGCTCCTTGGTAAATATATTTACACCATTTATTTGCTTAGCAAATCCCTTTTCATAGACAGCATGGGTAAATATCAGCCGTATCATCTCAAGGCTGATCTTTCATCACACATTCCATTACAAATTCTAAAATTAGTAGGGTTCAAACTTAGGTCTCAGTGACTTATAGAAACAATCCAGGTTCTGATGTGTCACACACCTATGAGGCATGCATCAGGCTCATTAGAAAACAAATTCCAGATCAGTACAACATAAGGTAGGAGAGGCTAACAACCTTGCTCTCACCTGGAGAGATCAAACAACGTCATACTTGTTTTCCAGGAGAAGACAAATAGAAACAGACACAGACACACACACAACAGACAGACACACGCAGACATACACACACACACACACACACACACACACACACACACACACCCTGGGCCAGAAAAATGCTGACCTAGCCATTCTGTGAATGTTTCCAATTTCTAGATGGTATCCTGAAAGCAACTAACTAGACAAGTAATTCATATTAATAGCTGCTCTCTCCCTTTCAATTTGGGTATTATTTCCTATTGGATATGTTTAGCCGGCAACAGCTCAAACATATAGACTATGCATAGTTAGAAATCACTGTCCTCCACGGGGCAACACTTACTTGAAAAGCCTGTAAAATGACCACAGGACACTTGCAGGGAGGGCAGAAAACAGCAACATGTTCACATGTTCATTTCTCTAGCTCAAATCCAACCAGCCTTTGAAAGTGCCACTTGAAAGACAAGCCTCCCACTATTTCTTGCAAATGCTTTCTAAACAACAAATAAGACTTTCCAGAGCAAAGGAGACTTTTCCAAAATCTGTAACTGTTTGACTTTGGGGAAGAAGACACACCTCTTGACTCCTTTATGCACAACCAAGTTCGGATTGCTGAAATCTCCCACACCCTTGGATGGCTGGTATTTATTCCCAGCCCTTTCCCAGGTAGCTGTGCAATGTCAGTGATGAGCTACTGAAAAATTGCCTGCTGCTAACAACACTGTTGCTATTCACTTCTTTCATTTCATGCCTATATTATATTTTTCCTGAAACAAATTTCTCTATTGTTCCCTCTCTGCTTCTAGGATCCCATTACCCAATCCCCAACAGCTAAGAAAAAAACAGAGCCCAGTTGGAGACACCCAACAATCTCAGGCCCTTCTAACCCTGTCGGACTTAGTTATAGTTCTTATCTGATTTCAGACATACCCTAAAATATAAGCATTGATGGTACTTGGCCTTAGTAGTCAAATTGTTTTTAACTCTTGCAAACACAGTCTTCTCACAATCAATCCTTTGTAATGGGTTTTTAAATGTCCCTTCAAAAATATTATTTCCAGTGTTCTATTCTGAGACTACCATATGGACCAAAATATTTAAAGCATCCAAGCAACACCTAGGAAAATACAAAACGTCATTTTTCTTCCTGCCCCGTCTCTACCCCTGCTGTTTCTTTTTACCAATGATTTTATTTTCCTTATAGGGAACAAATGATTCCAATTTCCTCGTATAGCACTGGCATACAGATGAGGTATTGACCTGTAGCTTTTTAAACCCCAAATTGTAGGCTTTGTTTAGATGAGTCTAAGGCCGTGGCTTGAAAGAAGAAAAAGGGAAATTTCTTCTCAAGGGTAAGGAGAATCTTTTCCCAAACTACCCGAGGAACTCTTCAAAGACAGTTGCCTGTTCTGCCCTAAAGACTCAAAGAGGGAAGGGTGAAAAAGCCTACTCTGCCAAGTAGGATGGCTCACAAGCTCATTTGAGGAACTGAAATTCTTTACTCCCGTCAGTAATACAACCCTTTCTTTACACACACACACACACACACACACAAAGGATGTAAAGCATGCTCATTTGTCAGACATTTCACAAAGCTGAACTTGCCAGTGGCACTGGGACTTGAACTTGCAGCTGAGGAGGTGAGAAGAAGCCAAATATGAACACTGCATATAATGTGTTCCTTTCCCTTCTTATTAAAAGCTGAGCCCATCAAGATGGCACTGAAGAAATATAATATGGGGTACAACGGAGGCTAGTGGAATCCCTCACCATGGAAGCTTTTAGCATTCAAAAAGCTGAGCTGGTACAAAATGAGTAAGTATTTTCACAGTCCTTCCCAAGAGGTGGAAATGGAGGTCACCTTGACAGGGTGACAACTCTCCTCAGCCTAACTATGTCATAGCAAGACTGAAATGGAGACATCACCACCCACATCAAACTGTACCTTGATAGGAGCTAGAGTCAAACTTCCAGTTTTTTTTTTTTTTTAACTTCTGAATCATTTGTTCTCATCTTTGGCTGCAGGTCTGAGTAATCAATAGTACGGTTGTTAAATAATACAGGTGCCTGCACTCTACTTTGTAAGGTTCAGATGGAATCTCGCTGCAGTGGGCCCTCTGTGTTTTTCGTGCAAAAGCTCCCCAGGGAGAGAATAAAGTAACCACTATCTTATGGATGCCTTTTTCCATTGCTACCAAAACATAGGACCTTTAAACCATTCCACAGTCTTTTCTTTTTCTTGCTCATAAAATAGTGTATGCTATTGTGGAGTTGCCTGCATAGCAATACATCCATAGATTTACTGAAATAACCATTCACTGGAAGTGGGACAGGAAGAAGGAAGATAGAGAAAAGTACAGGAGAAACCATATTAAAATGGTATCATCAGGTTTCACTTACCCCAGTGGGTAAGTGCTCATTATTGATCAAAATAAGTTTGCTAGTGGGTAACTTTAAGACTTAATGGTTGATATCACATGCATAAACACACACACACTGTCAAATTACTTTTGCCACTTCCCTCTCCCTAAAAATATGCTCTTGCAGAGAATAACAGCATAAGCTATTCATCAGGAAACAGAACTCTTCCCCATTCTTTATTACTTGAGGTTACGAATCCCACTTACCTGGTACTTTTTCTAAATTTAGTAGTCATTTGTTTTAAAAAAAAAAAAGAGAGAGAGAACTAAATAACTAAATAAAACATAAAAGAAATTAAGTGAAATAAAGAGAGATAAAACAATGTGCTCTATGACTGACCCATGAAAATTAAAATAACCCATAATTCCAATCTTTAAAAAAGCAACATTAAGACCTAACTCATTATTAGTTCATGGGACTTATCATAGTAGGCTCTAACCACATGTGACTATTGAGCACTTGAAACGTGGCTAGGGTCACATGTTAAAATGATAATATTTTGAATATATTGGGTTAAATAAAATGTGTTAGTGAAATTAATTTCCTCTGTTGCCTTTTACTTTTTTCAGCGCAGCTTTATAACATGCAAAATTACATGTGGCTCTATTTAGCTATGATAAGCCTTGCCTACCCCCTAGTGTCAGAACTTAGGCAATGCAGGCAAATCATTTTTCAAACGCATCTGTGTTAAGTACAATTCATTTCTGCCGGCAAAGTACAAGTATAGCCGCCTGTACATACAATTTTATCATTTTCACAAATGTTATCTCAAATTTAAGCCTCAGAGAGACTCCTGTAGTAGATGTTATATTCCCCACTCAGTTAGTATTTTTGAAATTACCAGGTTTATTGTAGAAAATTAGAACTAAAACAGCGTATGCTATTTAGTCAAGAGTATTTGCAGGGTTCCTATAAATTTCAGCCATCATAGGGGACAGAAAACATGGGATCAAACTTGGATGCAACAACTGCTCTTCAAAAAATTTACCCTAAGTTAAAAATAACATAAACCACCAAAACACACAATCACAACATGCATATTTTGCATAATCATTTATAACAGAAAAAAAAACAGAAAACCTAAATTTCCATAAATTTGAACAGTACAGAACCTCTACAAAACAGATAACATTCAAAAGAAGAAGACAGCTCTAAATAAGGATAACTAGCATTTGAGCACTCACTAAGCAAACACAGTTCTCAGCATTTCCCAGGTATTAATTGATTCCTTATTATAACCGTGAGACTTATTTTTTATTATTTTTATTATTCTCATTTTACATAGAAAGAGGCTGAGTCCCGAAGAGGTTTCATAACTTGCCCAAGAATGAAAGAAGAACTGAAGCAAAACTGAAGCTCATGCTGCTTCCTCTGCCATGAGTAATAAAATCTTTTGTCTCGGGCCGGGCGCAGTGTCTCAGGCCTGTAATCCCAGCACTTTGGGAGGCCGAGGTGGGTGGATCACTTGAGGTCAGGAGTTCGAGACCAGCCTGGATAACATGGGGAAAGCCCACCTCTACTAAAAATACAAAAATTAGCTGGGCGCTGTGGTAGGCGCCTATAACCCCAGCTACTCAGGAGGCTGAGGCAGGAGAATCACTTGAACCTGGGAGGCAGAGGTTGCAGTGAGCCGAGACTGCGCCACTGCACTCCAGCATAAGTGACAGAGGGAGACTCCATCTCAAAAAATTAATTGATTAATTAAAATAAAGTAAAATCTTTTGTCTCTGACCCAAGCATCTCATGCCTTCTGCCCAGCATCCACGAAACTATGACCAGCTAACCTGTTAGCTTGCAAGGAGGGTAAAAGCTCAGACCCTTCACAATTCTTGACATCTAACTACTTCCCAATCAGTGATACATCCTCTCTACAGCAGATTTAGGTCAAGGCCAGCAAATAAAAGGGCTCTCAACACCCTTCTGGGTCACTCTGTTCCCCAGCTTGTTGAAGCCTTTCTCTCCTTAAGGTTGAGCTGAAACCTCAGTCTTCATAGAGCAACTTTCTTCGCCACAGTCAGCTTACTAGAACAATGAAAAAACAAGCCTTTTTCTCTTATGCATGAGAAATCTTCAAACCCTGAAGGCTCTGACCACATCTACCTACCCATGCTCACAGTCTTCAGCTGTTCCTGGAATGCGAACCTTTCCACACTCATTCTCGATGCCTCCAAATGTGAAAACAGCTGCCATTTATGGAATGTTTACTATGTGCTAATCCCTTCACCTATTTTTCCTTATTAGTTATCCCAATAACTCCAAATAAAATAGGCATGGATATCATTCCATTTTTACAGATGATAAAACAGGTTCAGAGAGGTTAAGTGGCCTGGATAAGGCCACACAGCCAGGATGTACCAGAACCAGAATTAGGTTTGACTTTAGACCCCCCAACATTTGATTTCCTTTCCTGCCTCATTTCCAGGTGTGCCCCAGTTTTTCCAGGGACTTTATGCCAACAGATTTTATTAAATAGTCACCAAGCACCACAGCATTTTGTGGAATTGAAATAGTGCAGTCCAGGTTATATTCAAAGTTCTCTAGGGAAATGGAACTATTAAAGTGAACGTATAAATCAATAGCACCCAAGTTCTCAACTTTCTCAGCTCCATCAGAAAACTAGCTATGACTCCATCTTTAAAGGATAAAAATCTGAATTTTTGAAGTCTCCTAGTATTCACAGGAATAAATCTTAAAGTTGTAAGATGCTTTGTGTCCCAACTACTCGTGTCTATACCAGATGAAATTTCTAGGAAGATCCCTAAATCTTTAATTCCACAGGAGTTGAGTTTCTGAAACTTCCTTCCAGAAGGCATCTTTCCACTGCACAAAACATATTTGCTACCCTCTTGTGGGGAAATAAGGCACTGCTTACAGCCAAAAAAAAAGGAACAAAAGGACAAATTGCTAGTTGAAGAAATAACAAGAGTTAGCCCTGGCCTCCTTTTAAAAGAAACGAACCTGCCAATTGGCCCCTTCACCTTTTCTACAGCTTGAAGCTACACAGTCCCATATGTGTATGTGATCTCCTGCCTGCTCAATTATGATGGAAAATAGACTTTAAAAACAACAAAACCTGTCTTTTGCGTTTTTTAGTTGCTTAAAAATACTACTGGATTCTGTGGAAATGTATTAATGCCATTTGTCTTCAAGAAAGAGTCTCACCACCCAACCTGTGAAAATTAGGTGGGTTTTCATTTTGGTTTTTTTAATGCTTAAACTAAAATTACATCTCTGATACACACCTACCGTAACACCCATCTGCCAAAACTGGGGGGGAGATTCCCACCTTTCTTCTGTGTCTCTTAGCCAGGTAGGTGGAGATAGGGTTGTAAAATACCTCCTTGTTTACACACAGCAATCAACATCCACTCTTCTAATCCAAGCCATAAAAAGCATCCAACTTCTAACTAGGGTTTCCTAGTGCCATCATTTCTTTAATTGGCCAGCACTAACCATGAAGCCCATGGGACAGTGCCAGGAGCCTCTCTGGACACTCAGACACAGCCGTTTGCAGATAACACTCTGCAACTTGCTCCCGCTGTCAGACTTCCTATAATATACCCACAGTAGAGTGAAAATCTGACCAGAGTTTCTCAGGATCTCGGTGCACTGCCCCAATTAATTCTGGTGATCCTGAGTTCTCCATCAGCTGAGCACTAAACTGGGACAAAAATGCCACATGGACATTGCAAGGATCATGGACTTTCATTCCCTGAAGATCATTAGATAAAATTTATAGCATGAATGGGAGTGGGTGGTAATCCTACTGAAATGCTTCACTTGTCAACTAATCTGACTCTTAAACTCCACTCAAGAAAAGAGATAAGATTGAGGACCTCAAACACTATCCTCGTGAACAAACTCATAAAAATAGGCACAGCACAATAACCAACTAGCTGTGGGCACTTCACAGCAGCCAAATGGTATTGATTTTATGCTGATTTGCTGAAACTTCAATCATTATTTTTCTCATCTTCTTGGAACTGTCACTTGAGGAGGGAAAATTGAGTTGTGTGAGATTTTAAAAATTATCTTGAGCCTTAAATTATGACTAACCTTAAAATATCAGAATAACGAAGTGGAAAGTATGACATGTTATATATTTGGTGGTAAGAATATCTCATGAACTTTCCAAACACAAGACCTTTGGAGACAGAATTTATAATTCTGACCCATACGTGATTTAGGGTTCAGGCATCACTCTTTCCCAAAGAAGTCAAAACATTTCTGGCACTGCCACGCCTCAGATTACCAAAGCTGAGAGAGTAAATTAATTGACAACAAGTCCATTGACACATATGAATTATTCAGGAAAACACAATTTGCTGGGGAGTTTCCACTGTGTCACTTTAAATGTTGATGTAAGAAAGAAAGGACAGAAACACACACACACACACACACACAAACACACAAACTGATCGGTAGCTGATGGTTTTGATCTCGCCTTTAAAAATCAGCAATGCAGAGATATGAGTCTCACTAGAAGTTATCAGAATGACTGCCTCTAAATCTTTAGACAACACCCATTTTAAGTCCCTTACAAAAGTTACCACAGCTTTTTCTCTTTTCTTTTTTTAAAAAATCATGTAGCATATTTTCTCCACATCTCTCAAAAAGATCTTAAATTATCTGACTATTCCCTTCACTAAAGCCCTGTAAGTGTTAGTTTAAGTTTATCATAAAGATGTTCTACTTCTAAGGAAGCTGCAGGAGTGGATGGATGGATGGGCAGATGGACTGACATGTATGCACACACACACACACGCCAACCACACAAATTGCTGATGGTTTTCTGGGATTCCTTGAGAAAAACTGCTATAAAAATAAAAGTGTGCCCAAGAAAACAAAAGTTTTTAAAAGCCTGAAAAATATTTTTAAAGGACTCTTAAAGCACTAAACCATTAAACTGTGTTACTCCGCCATATTTCATGCTTCCTCTAGTTATTTACACACCATCAGAAGCTCACATCAGTTATCTGTGTCTAAAATGTGGACTCTGACATTTGGAGGGGTTTTATTATCTCAGCAGTGCATAATGAGCTTAAAGGGCTTACCTGCATGTCCCCGGAGGTGCTGGCTTGAGGCGGACATCAGCTTACAGCACACCATTAACACGTAGGCTAGAAAGAGCCAGTGCGACAGCAACACTGACTTAGCACAGACTCTCATCCTGGAGGAAAAGCAGGGCTGGAGTCAGTGAGGGCTGAGGAAGGCCAGACTCCCTGGCAAGCACCATTCTAGGAAGGCGGGAGAAAGCAGGGGCAGATCCCTGGAGCTGGAATTCCTTTCTCCCAAGAAAACAGAAGACCAATCAAACCTTATTTGCACTTAGCATTAACTAAATTTTCAATAAAAACCTTTGATAATTAAGAGTTTTCCAAGTTAGCACTATGCATCAGTGAGAAGCTTATTTATGAATCTGCAAGTTGTTGCCTGAGTTACCCTAATAGAGCATGGGGATTTTATTCTATTTTATACCATGAGATGTAAAAGCAACACACTTAGAGCCAGATCCAAATAAAATATATATGTTTTCTGGATCTGAAAGAATCCATGGAGATTTTGCACATGTGGTCCAAGAACTTTCTCCTGGTTTCTCTGACTGTACCCTAAGGCTTTCTGGTCTGGAAGACTAGGTTCATAGTTGATTAAACCAATCTCAACTCCTCCTTTGGGAAGGAGTATGGGCAAATACAGGTGAATATAAAATAAATTTAACTTCGTATGATGGACAGTATCAAAACAGTTGCTCAAAAACAATTCCGTTCACATGACAATTCAGTTGCATGGTCTATTCTAAAACAAAAGAGTAAAAAAAAGGAAGATATCAAAAACATTATTCCCAGCTGCCTAACTTTCTGCCATTTTATAACATCAGAAGGGAATTAAGTAGATAGAACTCGATTAACTTTTTTTGTTTGCTTTTTTTATATTAACTTTTGAAGCAAAACTCACCGCATTTGGCATCTGAAATTCCGGTGCTAATAGGTTCTTCCTTACACATGCCTCATGGCATCTATTATTACCACAATGGATCAAAGAAACCCCTGTTTAATATATGCAAATGTATACACACTTATGGGCCGACAATAAAAACATGGTACCTGAGTTTGGCTTCTTGCCTGAGTCACACTATAGGCAAGACCCCTAAGGAAGTCCTATAAGGAAGCATCTCCAGCTCCCAGCAACCTAGCAGTGCCTCTACGAAAGTCCCAGTCCCCTACTCCACGAAAACACATCAAAGCCTCAGGGGAATTGAATGCCACACCATACGCCGAGGCACACACATGTTCTGCTGCCAACATTCTCTCTCCGTGACCTCTCACAATTCCGTCAAATAGATCTTGTTAAAGGGTGTATTGCTCATTGATTTGAGATTTGGTCTGCTTTTTAAGTAGCCAGGCCAATCATGTTTGAAGAACTTGGTGTTAAAGGCAACAAAAAGCACTGGCTTCTTTTTGCCCTTTTAAACTGTTTCAAAATGGTTTTAAACGGCTATGTTGGGTAATTTGCAATGCAGCAATAAAAAATTAATCTTTCATTTATGTGATGCCTTGAAATTGTCCCTTTTGGGGCCACTAATTATGACAAACTGGAAGCCAGGGTATCTGATCCAGCCTGCAAATGTGTTTTGTTTGATCTGTGCTTTAAAAAAAAAAAAGAAAGAAATTGAATTGGTTGCCAACACATACAATGTCCAGATTGCAAATCAGAATCCAGATTCTCTTGAAAAATTATTCCTGGCATCCCCGGGCTCACATTTCCACATGGGAGTAACAGGCTGCCGTGGTCGCAGCTGCCCCTAGAAGGGTCTCCACAGTCCCTCCCACTAGTCAGTACCTTGGGCCCAACCAGCCCAACTCATTTACATGTGGCCATTTGAACTTCTGATCCTTGGGTAAGAGGAATAAGCCTTTGTAACAAATAGATTGATAGCTGATATTGGGGTAATAACTGGAATTTTAAAACATTATGTGTGAGACAGAGTGTTACATTAACAAAAAATAAATCATCCAATACCGGAATTTGAGCCTCTGGACTTCCCCCAAATTATGTGATTGATAATAGCATCTAGAACTCAGGTAAGATCCACGTATTATTTTCTTTGCCACCTTTCAAGCTGTTTCTAGAGTTTCTGTCCTCTTCATGTGTGTACACTGAGGTGGAGATGGAAGGCATGCTTTGAGAAACGAAAGGCCCTTCAAAGCAGAGAGGCTCCATGTTTCTGTGTAAGTTTAGAATGTTAGCAATGTCTGAAGCAAATTACCAAACTTAGAAGTTTAAAACAACAATCTATAGCCATACTACCCTCAACCCACCTGATCTCAGAAGCTAAGCAGGGTCGGGCCTAGTTAGAGCTTGGACAGGAGCAGTTTGAAACAACACCGATATATTATCACACAGTTTCTGTAAGTCAGGAGTCTGGCATGTTCTGGCTGGGTCTTCTGCTCAGAAACTCACAGGCTAAAATCAAGGTGTCAGCTGGGTGTGTCCTCATCTGGAGGCTCAACTGGGGAAGGATCACTTCCAAGTGCTCTCAGGTTGTTGGCAAAAGCCATTTTCTTGGGACTCTCTGTATTCCCCGTATTCTTGCTATTGACCAGGAACTGCTCTCAAGCCCTTCATGTCTTTGCCACATGGCCCCTGCACGTGCTCCTTCATGGTTTGAATCTCTTCCTCCAGGAAAGGCTCAGTCCCCTTTTAGGGCTTATCTGATTAGGTCAGCCCCACCCAGGATAGTCTCTCTTTTGATTAACTAAATTCAGTGTATGTGAAACCTTAAAAACACCTGTGAAATCCCTTCATCTATGCCTTACAGGTGTAATTTAATCAAAGATGTGAAACTCATCAAAACCACAATGCCACCCACACTCAAAGGAAAGCAATTAAAATATTTAAAATAATGTCCCACTGTTGGCAATAATTGAATGAAATATCTCTAATACAAAGAGAAAGAGTTTAACTTGATAAAACCATAAATTGATCGATAATTTGATCATGTATGTCAAACGTTTACAATCCAGCAGATCACTTATAGGATTTAACCCTAAAGAAATAACCAGCAACGTATGGGACTTTTTTTTATTGTTTATACTATTGAAAATGATCTGGCCATGCATGGTGGCTCATGCCTGTAATCCCAGCACACTGGGAGACCGAGGTGGAAGGAACGCTTGAGGCCAGGAATTCAAGGCAGGAGCGAGCTATGATTATACCACCACACTCCAGCCTGAGCAAAGAGTGAGACCCTGTCTCAAAAAAAGAAGGCAGGCAGGCAGGCAGGCAGGGAGGCAGGGAGGGAAAGACAAAAAAAAATGATGATCCAAATGTTTAACAGTATGAGACTGGTTAAACAAATTATGACACAGCCACAAGATGGGATGTTCTTCAGTAATGAAAGTGATATTATAAAATGAAAATAAACAAGTTTATTAAAAAGAAACAAAAGTTTATTTTAAATATATGAATTATATGACAGCCTGGGCCTGTCTTGCCTTCAGATCCATTCCTCCCGCTTCCCCTATATTGAGGGCTGGAGGGCCCTCTAGGCTGCATTTCCCAGGCTCCCAGGTCAGCTGGTTACTGGCTGGGTTCAGTCAAGGAAACGCAACAGCTGGAGCCTGGAGAATAGGAAAAGGGATAGGCCAGGACATTTCTCCCCGCCTTCTCTGTCTTTGGCAGGATCTGTGGGGTGGCCATCTCTCCACCATGGCTCCAGTTCCTGCCAGAAGGGTCCACTGTGGTTCTAGTTTCCACTCTAGTTTCCTTCTTCTAGGCACTGCCTCCCCACGGTCTAACTGCTTCCATGGTTCCCAGCCAGGGGATGGCAGTGGCTTCCTGTGTATCTTCCGCTCAGTTTCTCTGACTCTCCCATCATATGTATAACCAGTCTCCTGAATTCACTTCCCACTGGACAAAAATGGAAGTTGGAGATAATTCATTCCCAAGACATGCAATTTACCCAAGCTCACAGAGCAGTGAAAAAGCCAGCAGAATGGTTTCTGTTTTCCTGGTTGGATTCCAACAACAAATGCCTTAAATCAAAAGTCTCAAGGGCACACATTCCAAATCCTGGGCAATGATCCCTAATCTATCTTCTTCTTACGTGGACAATTCTATGTAACAAGTTGCTGGGTTAGTAGCAATAAGTTCCCTGTCTCTAAAACAAGTATTCACTTAACAATAGCTCAACAACCATTCCCCCAGAGAAATGCCAGGGCAGAGTGGTAGGGTTGGGGCCAGAAAGCTCTTCAGCAATAGATTTGTATTTCTTCATTTTTTCCTCTACTGAATAAACCAAAGTACTATTTTGCAAACTGAAATAATTTTCATTTCACAGATGAAAGCTAAAATGAAAAAATCAACATTTCCCCAAATTCCCAAAAAGTGTAAAAGCAGGCTTCTAAAACGGATCATCAACTCCAGGATACTCACTTTTGCTAAATTCTCAATACTTTGTAAAGATATCATGTCCAGGTGAACGTTAAAATAATCTTACCTTGGGGACCTCATAAGATGTGGTTCTAGTCAAACACACTTATTCCAGGATATATTTCAGAGTGACTCCAAATTCCCATCTGTTGCTAGAACCAATCATTTCTGCCGTTCCAAAAAATTATCGTAGCTCAGAAGACCTATGTTAAAAAGGCCAAAAAAAAAAAAGGAATCAATTAGCATTTTAATGTTAAAATGAAACTAATTTCCAGTAGCAAAATAATGGTTTTTAACCATGACACCTGCAGTTTCAGGCAAGTGGCAGACAGCCAAACATATCCATAGTTGTAAGGTGTCCTACTATTAGGGAGGAAAAGATATAGAATTCTACAGTCATTAATTAGCCACATATTAGTTAACACCACATAGTTGTAAAGAACTTTCTGCAGCAGGAAGGGTATTCAAAATTTAACAGAGGGTCCCAAATCATTTGAAATGCACAAATTTCACTCTCCCATTTCATTGACCATCAGGAAAAATGGAAGTTAGAGATAATGCATTCCCAAGACATGCAATTTGCCCAAGCCCATGGAGCAGTGGAAAAGCCAGCACGAAGATCTGAATTCCTGGATTTGTGTGACATAAGCCTGAAGATGATGCTAGACAATCTATGAGGTTGCTTTTTGAAAAAATATTAATAGGACACCAAGAGAAAAAGTGTTTCCAATATAATCCACCATACCAAAATATAAAGAACACTTGTGAATACTGTAGTTGACATTCCCTCAACGCATAAACCTAAAAGGATTTTTCTACTTAGTGAACACATTTGTAAAAGGACTCAGATGACCCTAAAGCAAACACATCTTAAGAAAAAAACAGAACATGAAACTATACCATTTGTAAAGATGCTAAGTTAAATACATCCCTCCCAGTGGTAAAGATCAGAGAAAAATTATGATATGTGTTAATAAATATTCAAGTTGCAAATATAACATAAAAATGATTTTTGAAATGAAGTCTAATTACTTTAGAATCCTGTAGAACCAATTAAGAATCCACCACCAAGCACAACTGAGATTTTTCTCTTAGATAACCCAAAGATAATTCCACAAGTTTGATTAGAGAACACTTTCGGTGATAAATTTGAAGACTCACCACTTTGGGGCTGCATGTAAGAGAGTATGGGCCTTGAGTAATTAGTTCAACAAGAGAGAAATGGCTTTAAATAGCTGTATAAACACAAGTTGCTCAGAAAAAACAACTTGAAAATGTTCATCTCCCAGATCCTCCAACTTTATTAAGTGTGTTTGTCCTTACGTCCACCCAACGGCATGATGTGACCTTCTGCTATCAGAAAGAACTACACAATATAATTCATCAGAACTCATCATAATGAACTCCCCACATATTGGAAACCAAAATGACCTTTCCTGGCTAATATTTTTCTTATTTTCTTCACACAAAAGGAACCACTGGGTATTCTTTTTTCAATTCATTAAAAAAATAGATCCATCAGTGGAAAGTAATGCGACCTAATAGTTCATATGCAAGACAAGAAGCCAGGAGTTTAATTTTAGGCTGAGCAGTAACTCATTCAGTCATATTTTCCCAGAGTGTACCTGAGGCACTTACTTGAAAGAATTAACTCTTTCTTGTCATGTCTTAGTCTGTTTTCTGCTGCTGTAACAGAACAGAAATTGAGTAATTTACCAAGAAATTTATTTCTCACAGTTCTAGGGGCTAGGAAGTCCAATAGCACAAAGGCAATTAAATTTCAACATGAGTTTTGGAGGAGACATTCAAGCCATAACATTCCACCTCTGGCCTCCCAAAACTCATGTTCTTCTTACATACAAAATATATTCATTCCATCTCAATAGCCCAAAAGCATCAATTCAAAAGCCCAGTGTCCAGAGTTCCATCTAAATCAGATATGAGACTCAAGATTCATCCCACCTCAAATGTCCTCCAGCTGTGAGCCTATAAAATCAAAACAAGTTATCTACTTCCAAAACACAGTGATGGAACAGGCATAAAACAGACATTCCCATTCCAAAAGGGAGAAATAGAAAAAGAAAAGAAGTAACTGGTTCTCAGTATGTCCAAAACCCAACAGGTAAAACAACATCAAGTCTTAAAGCTGGAGAATAATGTCCTTTGGCTCTGTATGTCCTGCATCCTGGACATGCTACAGCAGGAATTAGGTTGCCAATGCCACGGGCAGCCCTGCCCCTGTGGCTTTGCTGGACCCGATCCACTCAGCAGCTCTCTTGGGTTGGAGTCCTATGCCTGCAGCTCTCCCAGGCTGGAGTTGTACACCTGCAGCTCTACATTTCGGGAGTCTCTGGGGTAGCCTCGCTCCCATGACTGCCCCCTAGTACATGCTCTCTGTGGTGGCTCCTCCCTTGTAACAACTTTCTGCCAGGACCCCAGACTGCCTGATACATCTTTTGGAATCTATGTGGAGGTGACTATGGCCCCAAGGCTCATGCACTCTGAACTTCCACAGGATCAGTACCATGTGGACACCATCAAGGCATACCACTTGTGCCCTCTGAAGCTCTGGCACTAGCTGTACCTGGGCCTGCTTGAGGGGTGCTGCATTGGAATTTGGGGAGAATTCCAAGGCTGCATAGGGCATTGAATGCTGAGGTCCCACAGGTACCCCTCTTGAAATCTTGCCCTCAAGGTGCTAGCTTTCCTGAAAGATCTCTGAAATATCATCAGGGTAATTTTCTCATTGTCTTGAACAGCAAGCACCTGGCTCCATTCCAGCTGTATCAATCATTTTAGCAATCTCTTTTGCCTGACCACACCCTTAGTATTCTCTCCCAAATATGCTGTTTTATTCTTCACATGGCCAGGCAGAGAGTCTTCCAAATCTTTCTGTTCTGCTTCCCCTTTAATTGTAAATTCTGCCTTTAACTAATTTCTCTATTCACTCATTTTACTGTAAGCACCCAAAAGAAGCCATGCAGCACCTTGAACACTCTCCTGCCACATATACTAGATCATTGCTCTTAAATTCCATCTTCTAATGGAATCTTATAAAACACTTCCATCTTCTAAAACCTTAGTGCATGGACGCAATTCAGCCAAATTCTTTACCATGTTAAAACAAGGATTGCCTTTACTCTGGTTTCCAATACATGTTTCTCATTTCTGCTTGAGACTTCATCAGAATGGCCCTTACCGTCCATATTTCTAACAACATTCTGATCACAACCTCTTAAGTGATCTCTAAGAAGTCTCAGACTTTCCCTACAGCTATTCTCTTCTGAGCCCTCACCAGAGCCACCCTTAACACTCCATTCACAGCAATACAGTTTTTCAGCATTTACTTCAAAACTGTTCCAGCCTCTACCCATTACCCAACTCCAAAGCTGCTTCCACATTTTCAAGTATTTGTTATAGCAATAACGCCATTCTCTGTACCAATTTTTTGCCTTAGTCTGTTTTCTGCTGCTGTAACAGAATACCTGAAACTGAAACAGAATACCTTTAAAAAAATCTATTTCTCATAGTTCCAGAACTGGGAAGTCTAATATCAAGGTGCCAGCATCTGGTGAGGGCCTTCTTGCTACATTATCCCATGGCAAAAGATGGAAGGGAAAGAGTGCTCAAGAGAGGGAGAAAGGGCTGAACTTGCTTGTATAACAATCCACTCTCACAATAAGGAACACGGCCCTCGAGATAATGACATTAATCCATTCATGAGGGTGGAGGCCTTATGACCTAATCCACCTCTTCATAATCCTACCTCTTAATACCATCACAATGACAATTAAATTTCAACATAAGTTTTGGAAGGCACATTTAAACCAAACTGTGTCACTTCTAACTTCAGTACATTCAAGATCGATAACTTTGTGCATGGCACCAAAAGAAAGCATTTACTTGCAATCATTTTATTCCTCTGTTGTTCCCAACTATAACACAGTCCTTTCTATCAGTCTGCTTCAAAAGTCATGTGTTTTTAAAGAGTCTCAGTGTTTTCAATGATGAAAGACATTGCCCATATCTAGACTAAGAGAATTTTTTTAGAACATGTCTGGTCATTCTCGGAATGAACTAAAAAGATGGTGGATGCTGGGCTGCATTTTTCATCTTCTGCCCGATGTGTGGGTATTATGTGGAGACAGTTACTGATTTACTACAAAAGAGCAGAAAGCCTATTTATGTCTCCCGGTACCAAGAAACTTTGAGGTTCCCAGGCAGAAGAGCCCATTCTTCAAATGTTTAATTTATTTCCATGTTACACAAGAAAGAATTCTACCTACACTTGATTTCTTATCAAGGAAAATAGAGAGGCTGTGCCTTCCTCGTCTGTTGATCTACTTGCCTTCATTATTGGTGAGGTGAATTCCCTCAGAGAACTATTCTTTCAGAATACAGTCATTCACTTGTAGATGAGCACCTTCAGAATACCTCTTCGGTCTGCTACACCCACCTCACTCCACATATGAATCTGCAGGGCATCACATTTCCCCCATCTTTTCACTCTAAAACTCTACAATGATGAAATACCAGTTCCTCTTAAAATTGAAAGACACACTGACCTTAAACCTGGATCTAACTATGAGGAAAATCAGATGAACTCAAATTGGAGCAACATCCTGCAACATAATTTCTCTGCATTCCTAAATAGTATCAAGGTCATGAAAGACAAAAAAAATTAAAATAACCATGAGAATTGTCTCAAATAAAGGCAAGAAACATGGCAACCAAATGCAACTGTGATCTTACATTGGATCTTGGACCAGGAAAAAATAGTCATCCTCAGAATGAACTGTACACCCACACAAAAACAAGGACACATATACGTAGCCATAAAGGACATTATTGAGAAAATCAACAGTATCTGAATATAGCCTGTAGATTGCATTACAGTGTTCTATCAACATTAAATTTCCTCATTTTGATCCTCATACTGTAGTTAAGAAAGAAAATGCACTTGTTATTAAATACATCCTGAAATATTTAAGAATAAAGAGGCAAATGCCTCCCATTTATTTTCAAATGACTTTAAGAAAACATGAGCGGGAAGAAGTCAAGAAGAAAGAGAGACAGAAGAGCAGGATAGAGGGAACGAAGAAGAGAAAGGGAATTAATGAATGCAAAAACTAATAAGCAAAAGGTAAGCAATTGGTGAATCGGGGCACAAGGTATATGGGAATTCTTTGTACTCTTCTATGAACTTTTCATTAAATTGGAAATTATACCAAATTAAGACATTACATACGTACTTAAAAGCCTTCAGTTTATAAAATATACTAAAATGATTGAGAGCTTATTGCCAATTCTAAGCAATAAGGGGAGTGAAAGTTTGAATGTTGTGGTTAATTCAACTCTCTGAGCTTTCATCCAAGCCTCCAGAGAAGGTTTATTTGTTTTTATTTTAAAAACACTGACATAGCGCCTGCTAGGAACCATGCACTTGTTAGTCATTTTAAAATATAAACTCACTTTAAAAGAAGGATTTATTTACATCACGATATGGCATAGGTAGAAGTGGCTTGTCCAAGCTCACTTAGCTAGTAAGTGGCTGAGCCAAGATTCTAATTTATGCTGTCTGGTACCAAGGTACCTACAGTTTCAGTTCTAGTAAAAGTATTTCCAAAAAATACCAGTCCCTTTTCATGCTTTAGTAAACAGGAGGAAAATAAATCTTTCTTCAGGACTTGAAGACATTGGTCATCAATCTGACATTAAAAATTCTGTCTGTGGCTGAATTTGTGTAGACAATTGGACTGAATTTGTCAGCAGATGCTCGGATTGTGCCTATGATGGTTTACATTAATGCCTAAATAAATATTGCCTCATCTCTGAAAAGCTAGTGAAAAACAGTGGCACAGGCTTCTCATTTGCTACAGATTTATTAAAGGTTAACTAATGTCATTTCCCAAATTAAGACCAAGTATGCAAGAATTATATACAGCTTGAGGGCCTTCACCACCATTTTTTTAAACAGATGGAAAACAGCTGCACTTCTGAATAGAACTCTCTAAAACGTTTCAGTGAAGATATACCAGAGCCAGAACATCATACATGAAGGCTAAATTACTTCGGTTGATTTCTATGAAGGAATTCAGCACCAAAACATTAAAAATGGATTTTTGTCTGTGCATCCACTCAAACTCATCTCCTAACACATTTGAATTCAAAAGCATTTTTGCAAAAGTACACAGCAAAACAGAATCTGCTTAATAACAAACAAATAGCCCAAGTGCTACTAAACCACACTGCCCTTTCCCGCCTGCCCACTCACCAGGGAAACCTCCAAGCCCATCTTGCATCACCTCCAGAGTGAGGAGGTTTGGATAATTAGCTATTTCCAGACTCACCATCAGTTCATCTCTGACCTCCCGGGCTGGGATCTACCGGGATAGCCTGGTGCCTTCTGTACTCAGCCCCTTGAGTACTAGGGCACAAGTAGGAATAATTTTTTCAGCTAATGATGTAAGAGGTGACACCCTAAAGCGTTTAGATATTGTGGTAAATCATTTTTCCACACTAATTTCCACCCAGACAGAAGATGATGGAAGTGAAAAATGTTTCAGAAAGCAGCAATCTGGGTTTGGGGAGTAACTAGAGGGTTTTATGAGTGGAAGGGTAGGGATGGGGGGAGACTATCCCACTAAGTGATGTCTTTCCATTCTGGGATAATCAATAGAAATCTCGAAGCAGAACTTGCCTACATAAAACCATTCATCATTTCTCTAGACAGAAATGAGGTAATATGTTTCCATTTCCAGTTGCTTAAATAACACAATCACATTGAATTGTCTTTAGAAATCTGCAAACAGCTTTTCCACCAAAGCATGCACAATGAAATGTAACTTCTCTCTTGACAAATATATCCTGAAATAAGGCAGGTATTAATGATCTTCTTATATTAAAGAGTGTGCTGATGAAAGTAAATGTGCTTAACAGGTTACCAACGTTTATGTGAATATATTTCAAGCACCTGATACACGGCAGAACCTCCACTGAGCCATCATTTATAATGATCACATATGTGGAATTACTTTTGTAATTTAGAGAGTATTCATTGTTACATGTTAAAGCAGACATGTTTTCCCACCAATATGTGGTATATACCTGTCATAAATTGCTTTTTATTGCTTCCTTAAAAACATCAGTGAAGAATTTACTACTGAACCATTTTACAACATGCTAAAGTATGTTGTAAATGAGCCATTAAAGACAATAACTGTCTATTAAATATTAAAGAATTTTATAAATGGCATTTTAATTTCAAGTGTTACCAATACCATCTCATCTAAATTAGGTGGTAGAGAGTTGTTTTAGCAGAGTGAGAAGGTTTGAGGGGGGTGGATGATGACAAATCAGTTAATGGGTATGACGTACATTAATCAGGTGATGGATACACTAAAAGCCCTGCCTTGACCACTACACAAGCTATACATGTAACAAAACTGTACATATGCCCATAAATATGTACAAAGAAAGAAATAAGATTCTTCTCCCATTTTTAAAAAACGCTCTTCTAGTCAGAGATGATTTAAATAAATAGACATGCTATGTTTATATATGGTTTACACTCTGTCACTTTAAGAACTGAGAAATTCCTTAAAACCACACAGCATCTTCATTTAAGTGCACTGATAAATTCCTTCCTAATGGATATATGGTCAAACCACGCATTTCGTTAATGAAGAAAAACTCTAGCCTTCAAGTGACCGTGAAGTAAAAAGTACAAAAGCAATCATTGCTAAGTAATAATGAATAACTGAGATCCAGTATACATAAAACTGAAAACTTAGCTGGCAAGTTACATAAAATAAAATGCGCTCACCAAAATCAGCAGCACCCAGCATGGCTCCACAACTTGTTGTCCAAGTGAAATTGCCCAGGTCTGGGGCTGAACAAATGTTAACGGTAATGACAATTTAGCCATAAATCTCTCAAGGCCCAATTATCCTTACTGCAGAGGGTTTATTTCTTTTAATTGGACCAGTTTTTAATTGGAAATTTTCCTCTCATTTCTCATTTTTCAAATATTCAAAACAGAATGTCTAAGGATTTTATTTAACATAATCAATAGCCAACATAAATTTTGGAGATTATCTACAAGTTGCCAAGTACTTGAATTTTATCTGAAAAGTTTTTACATGATAGGATCTAACTTCTACATAAAAAATATTTGTAAACATTAAATAATAGGTCTTCTAATACTATCATCATTACTATGGGCAAGTGGGAGTCTATTTACTTATAACCAGAATGTAAAGTTCTTGAGGGGAGAATAATGTCTTATTTCTCTTCTACCCCAGCTGCTAGTATAATATCTTGCATACCGTGGAAGTTAAATATGTTTTGTTAATAAATGAATAAATGTAAGCCCCCAGTTTCACTCCCAAATGAATGGTCATTTAATCTCTATGCTTCCCAAATTCCTCATCTGTAAACAAATACAGTTTAACCGGATGACCTCCGAGGTGCCTTCCAGCTGTAACAATAACTCACAGAGCATTTTAGGAAAAGTACAGTGTGATTTAGCTACTGTTAACAAACAGCTCATGGACATATATACACAGTAAATGCAGCCATGAGTGGATTACATGGCAAGACAAAGCCCGTCGCAGACAATATTGGCCTTTCTAATCTATTAGTGGGATAAAGGCTTCTTAAAAGCTTAATCTAAACCTGTATTACATTTCAACCTTAAAATCATCTTTTGTTTGACAATGGTGCCCTCCTGTGGACAAAACAAGGAAATATTTTGACTATGCTAACATTTTTAACTGGTTTATAATATGTATGTTTTTATTATAATAATTACACCTTTAAATTTTTAATAAAGCCATATTTATAAATAGAATGCAAACTATCCTTAAATAAACAAAAGATATAATTTAAATAACACTATCACACTAAATAGTATTACCAAAAGAAAAAGTTAAATCAAAATATACTAACAGCTTCTAAATAAAATGGTAATTATTTCTATGGAATACTACACATAATAAATGCAGGCTTAATGGGATTCAGTATTTGTTGGTTCTTCCTGTTACTTGTTACTTTTTTTTTTTTTTTTTGGAGACAGAGTCTCACTCTGTCACCCAGGTTGGAGTGCAGTGGCACAATCAGGGGTCACTGCGTCCTTCATCTCTGGGACTCATGTGATCCTCCCACCTCAGCTTCCCAGGTAGCTGGGATGATAGGCACGCATCCCCATGCCTGGCTCATTTTTTGTATTTTTAGTAGAGACAGGGTTTTGCCATGTTGCCCAGGCTGGTCTCGAACTCCTGGGCTCAAGCGATCCTCCTGCCTTGGGCTCCCAAAGTACTGGCGTGAGCCACCACGCCTGGCCATGTTACTTCTATAACACAAGTCTATGCTACAAACTATCAAAGGTCCTCAGCTATTTAAAGATGTTCAAACATCCAGCCTGTGTGTACTGAAAGCAGACTCAGCGCTGGCATTATACTGGGACATGCTGGGGGAAATTAACAAGACTGATTCTTGTCAATTCAAGACAAATCTAACTGGAAAGACAAAAACACACAAGGAGCAGCCAACAGAGTAGGCCATTCAATATTTGGCAGTGTGTTTTAGCATAATGAAAAAGAATACTTTAACCATGTGAAAAAGGGTAAGATCACTGGGGACTGCTGTAATCCAGGAAAACTTCCTGGAAGAGGCAACAGCACAGAACAGTAAAAGTAAAGATGGAAAGGAGTAAAAGAAGTTTGAGGGTGTTTTTGGTTTTGTTTTGTTTTGTTTTGTTTTTTGTAACAGAGTTTCACTCTTGTTGCCCAGCCTGGAGTGCAATGGCGTGGTCTCCGCTCACTGCAACATCCACCTCCCAGGTTCAAGCAATTCTCCTGCCTCTTCTCCCAAGTAGCTGGGATTACGGGTGCATACCACCATGCTGGGCTAATTTTTTTTTTTCTTTTAGATGGAGTCTCACTCTATCGCCCAGGCTCGGCTTACTGCAACCTCTGCCTCCTGGGTTCAAGCAATTCTCCTGCCTCAGCCTCCTGAGTAGCTGGGATTACAGGCGCCCGCCACCATGCCCAGCTAATTTTTGTATTTTTAGCAGAGATGGCGTTTCACCATGTTGGCCAAGCTGGTCTCAAACTTCTGACCTCAGGTGATCCGCCTGCCTCAGCCTCCAAAAGTGCTGGGATTACAGGCGTCAGCCACCGCGCCCAGCCTTAATTTTTGTATTTTCAGTAGAGATGAGGTTTCACCGTGTTGGCCAGGCTGGTCGTGAACTCCTGACCTCAGGTGATCCACCCACCTTGGCCTCCCAAAGTGCTGGGATTACAAGTGTGAGCCACCGTGCCCAGCTGTTTTTGGTTTTGTTTGTTGTTCTTTAGGACAGAAAAGGTCTGTATATGTGCATGGGTTTGTTTTGTTTTGATTTGATTAGGTGGGGGAAGTGGAAGAGCCACTAAAGGAAACCACAGAACTCATGTAGAGAAAAGAGAAGGGGAGATACAGTGGGTAGGGGGAATTAGCTATGCACAGGGAACTTAGACAGAAGAGCTAGCACAGCATCCATGCTCTATTTCTGTGTTCAATGGGTCACCTCTGCATGATTAATTCAACAAGGATTTTTTTTTTAATCAACTCTCTGTGCCAGAGCCTGTGCTGAGTACTGGACACAGAGGGTAGACAAGATCCCCAGTGTCCTGGAGCTTGCATTATAGCATGTGGAGACAAACAGGTAAACAAGCATAAATAAGGTTAACTGTGGACTGAGAGAAGCATTACAGAGAAAACAAAAGTGAACAATGTGATGGAGACTAGCTGAGCTTGGAGGAAAAGAGGTTAGCTACTTGGAGTGGGTGTTCAGGGATGGCCTGGCCTCACTGAGAAGGTGACTGTGACATCATGGTGAATTACATAATGTGACTTTCCAAGGGAAGCATATTCCAGGTAAATAGACAGCACAAAGAGCCTGAAGCTAAAATAAGCTTGGTGTGTTCAGGAGCGGAGAGGTAGCTAGGGAGGCCAGAGGGGAGTAAGCAAGGCAAAGAGAGGTAGGAGGTAATGTTAGGTAGCAGGTGATGGCAGAGAGGTATCCAGGGACAGACCAGGCAGAAGCTTGTAGGCCATAGTGTGCTGTTAGAATTTTATTCCAAATGTGGTATAAGAGTTTTAAGCAGGAGAGAAACAGGAGATGGTTTAGGTTTTCACAAGAGCCCTCCAGCTGCTGGGTAGAGAATGTCCTGATGTGGGGGCAGGATCGGAAACAGGGAGTCTACTGCAGCCATCCAAGCAAGAGATGGTGATGGCTTGGAGCAGGATGGTGACAACACAGCCCAAGAAAAACTGATCTTCCAAGGCCAAAAGTAGCACCGAGCACACAACAGGTTCTCAATAAGTCTGTGAATGAATGAATGCTTGAGTAAGTGAGCAAAATGTTATTACCAGTCTTGCAATATGCCATTGGTTTTTTAACCTCTCTCTAGAGCTGATGTCTGTCTCATGGGCAAATACAACAAATACTGACATAGATGGCCTCAAGAGAAGAAAAAGTGGCAAAACACCTTATTGACTGCTTGTTCGCAGGCTAAGGTTGTGACGAGAAGTACAAGAGAATGAATTTGGCCAGCTATCTGGAGAGTAGGGTACCTGTGAAGCCCAGGCCTCTAAATGGGGTCCTCTCACATCCCTGCTGGGTATCTCAGACACTCCATGTGGGAGCAAACTACCATATGGGAGAAAACTACCGAACTAACTATAAGGTCCAAGTTTCAACAATACTCATTTTTATCTTATGGACACTGTACTTCATACAATCTGTTGTTTTTGTTTAGTTTTGTTTTTATTGAGACGAAGTCTCAGTCTGTCACCCAGGCTGGAGTACAATGGCGCGATCTTGGCTCCCTGCAACCTCCGCCTCCGGGTTTAAGTGATTCTCCTGCCTCAGCCTCCCGAGTAGCTGGGACTACAGGCACACGCCACCATGCCTGGCTAACTTATGTATTTTAGTAGAGATGGGGTTTTGCCATGTTGGCCAGGCTGGTCTCGAACTCATGACCTCAAGTGATCCGCCCGCCTCGACCTCCCAAAGTGCTGGGATTACAGGTGTGAGCCACCACGCCTGGCCTAATCTATTGTTTTTCACTCTTCACTTTGGCTGCTAGGAAGCTGACAGCCAAATTTATAGTTCATCTTCAGTAAGTGAACAGGACCTTTCACCATGCCTTTTATATATTAATCTTATGCTTAATTTTGCATATCCTTATTTTTGGCCAGGTACGGGGGCTCATGCCTGTAATCCTAGCACTTTGGGAGGCCAAGGGGGGCAGACACCTGAGATCAGGAGGTTGAGACCAGTCTGACCAACATGGTGAAACCCCATCTCTACTAAAAATACAAAAATTAGCCGGGCATGGTGGTACATGCCTGTAATCCCAGCTACTTGGGAGGCTGAGGCAGAAGAATCGCTTGAACCCGGGAGGCAGAGGTTGCAGTGAGCTGAGATCATGCCATTGCACTCCATTCTGGGCAACAAAAGCGAAACTCCATCTCAAAAAAAAAAAATATTTATTTTTCCCTTTATCTCTCATTTCAATGATTATTCTTAAAGTCACTCTCAAATCTGTTTTGATGAAGACATACACAAATAAATGAATATATCAACAAGACACCACACACTAACCGGTCCAAAGTTCAGATTGTCCTAAGAGTCTCTTCATTGACTCCCCTTTTCTTTACCCAACCTACTTGCCAGAACAAAACTCAACACTTCCCCCTTGACATGGTTACCTCAGGTGAAAGCATTCTTTCCAAATGAAAAATGTTACCCAGACTGTACCTCACAGGAAGTCACAGACAACAGATCACATTGGGATTCATTGACTGATTTCCTGGTAGACAGCAAGGTTGCAAGGGGATGAGACAAAGGACTGGTCAGGTTTGGTTTAAGGTAAATACGAATGGGAGGAACAAGGTCCAGGACATGTGGCACAGGGAAGTGAGTGCAATCAGGAGAGCTGGAGAAGGACAAGGTGAAAAAGGGGTGAGATGGGAAAGGACCCCAAGGAGATACATTTTATAGCTTGAGCAAAGGTCAGTCTTGACCAGCAGTGATTCAGAACCAGTCGCTTCATCTGAGATTAAAATCAACTTGTTATGTATGATCCAAGAATCCGGAAAAGTTTTCACAGGCCCTAGAAAATATGGAAAGGCATATCTGATTGTTTTGCCCTCGTGTTTAAGTCAAGAGAAGAGAATCAAATAATCTGTTATAATGATAATGATTTAGCATATGTGGGCCAGGCCCTGTGGCTCATGCCTGTAATCCCAGCACTTTGGGAGGCCAAGGTGGGCGGATCACCTGAGGTCAGGAGACCAGCCCGGCCAACATAGTGAAAACCCATCTCTACTAAAAACACAAAATTAGCCAGGCATAGTGGCATGCGCCTATACTCCCAGCTACTAGGGAAGCCAAGGCAGGAGAATGGCTTGAACCTGGGAGGCAGAGGTTGCAGTGAGCCAAGATCGTGCCACTGCACTCAAACCTGGGTGACAGAATGAGATTCCATCTCAAAAAAATAAAAAATAATAATTTAGCAGATGTGTACTCTGGGTCAAATATCGGACCAATCAAGCACTTTATCGCTCATCTTGTTGAATCCTTAGAATAACCCTGTAAGGAAGTCTGTTTTGTTTTGTTTACATCTCTGTTTAACAGGAGAGAAAATAAGTAAACCCGTTTACTTACCCAAGTATACAATATTAGTGGTAGACTCAGGATTCCAAACTAGGCTGGGAGATTCCACTACCTGGGAAGAAAAGGGAGTGTCGACCAGAAAAAAAGCTTGAGAAAACAAGAAGGGGAATTGAAGTAGGGTAGTAAGTGGTCAGCCAAGACCTTCCGAAGACTGAAGTTTGGACACTACAGAAAGCCCAACTCAGAGTATTTCTCAGGTTGAGGATGCAGTTGTTAAAGATGGAGTCTTCCCAACACTGGCCATAGCTGCGTAGGAAATACATCACATAAATTTCAGCCACATATCTACTTTTTCATGTGTAAACTTTATGAAATAAATGAAATACCTTTAAAATATTTCCAAAGAAAATTTAGCATCCAAACTGAGATACTAAGTGTAAAATACACACCAAATCTTAAAGCCTTAGTAGAAAAAAGAACTACCTCATTAATAATTTTTAATATTCCATGTAGAAATATTATTTTAGACATAGCCAGCTAAATAAAATATAATATGAAAATTAAACATAAAATTCAGGCACACTGGTATAACCAAAAGTGGTTTTCCACAGACAATAATATACCCTGGATTTTTTTTTTTCTTCATTTCAAAAAAAGTTTTGGCATTTACGGAAGGCTTCTTAAACTTCTTCCATGGTTTGACATCATTGACTCAGATAAAGGCCTAGGAAGCCATTCCTCCTATTCAGGATCTAAAAAAGCAGCAGTTCACATTTATAACGCATTACAACCAGAACTTGAGGCCTAAGAAATTTCTATGTCGAGTCCACAGTTTCAAACGCAAATTCACTCATCAAGGCTTTGTTCAGGCATCAGGGAAACATCCTGGCAGCAAGTATACCTATATAAGGAAATATTAGGTCACGATCCCATAACTCCAACACACAAGAGATGCACCACACACTTTAGGAGACTTCCAAAGCAGAAAAACACAAGAGACTAGGGAGAATGACCTCTCTTCCTAGTTTATGCCTTCAAGGTATTAAATGTACTATTCATCCCCAAAAGAAGAAATGCATATAAAAACTCAGATCACCATAATATGCAGTGTAACATAAAAATTAATATCTGGAAAGCAAATTTATTTTCACCACCTAAAAGACATTTAACCTTTAATTAAAATAATAGGCCTGGCATGGTAGCTCACACCTGTAATCCCAGCACTTTTAGAGGCTGAGGCAGGGGACTGCCTGAGCTCAGGAGTTCAAGACCAACCTGGGCAACATGGCAAAACCCTGTCTCTACACACACAAAAAAAAAAAAAAAACACAAAAATTAGCTGGCTGTGGTGATCCCAGGTACTGGGGAGGCTAAGACATGAGAATCACTTGAACCTGGGAAGCACAGGTTGCAGTAAGCCGAGATTGCACCACTGTACTTCAGCTTGGGTGACAGAGCGAGACTCTCTCTTAATAATAATAATAATAATAATAATAATAATAATAATAATAACAATAATAATAATAATAATAATAATAATAAAGCTGCCTGGAAACCATTAATTCCATAGTAACTTTGGTAACTGGGGCCAGAAGGAACAGAAGCAATATAATTCCAATAGTATCCAGCTTTTTCCAGCCTTCCTGCCACAGGGTCTTTGCACATGGCAGTCCTTCTGTTCAGAGGCAAACACATTCTTCTGTCCTCCACTAAGTTAACTCCTACTCATCCTTCATATCTCAGGGCAAATATTACTGCCTCAGAGAAGCACTCTCTACTCACTAGCTAAAATCCCAAATTTTAGTCTTTTCTTCTTGGTACTCTCTAGAACTGCCTTTTTATACTCTCGTGAGAATTCCCTATCAAACTGGAGCTCCGTGAGGGCAAAGATCAGGCCTCTTCTCTCAGTATTGTTTCTCATCTCTAGCCCTTAACAGAGCAAGTTCAAAGCACTCAACAAATACTTGCTGAATCAATGAATGGATTTGAACACCTAAACTTAATCAGGCTATCCCATTTCCTTTACCTAATAAATTTGGTTTTGCAATCACAGTTTCCACCTTGCAGTGAAATTTTTAACCAAAGATACTTTCCTAGACATTGACCCAATTCACAACTACTGCTTTCACTAAGGAACATCCCCAGCCCCCATCAAACCTTCTAAGAAAGGGCAGGGCAGCATGGTTTGCTATGTAGTTCAGCCACCCATGGCTAATTCAAGCCAAGCCAAGGGAACTTTCCTCTTCCTGCAACTTAGAATTGAGAATGAGAAACAGCTAATAATTCCAGAATTAGCTGTCAAGGGAGAAATATATAAATTTAGGAGGTATGAGGTGGCCAGCTTTTCCTCATCCATGCAGGGGGTACAAAGAAAGCCAGACTTCACAGAGACAAGAGTGACACAGATGCACACAAAACAGAAATAAGACTAGAAGAGGATGATCCAGGTCCCTGAAGGTCATTCTATTTTTAGTTCCAAGACTTTCCTTGGCCTGCCTTTGTGCCTTCCCTTGAATTCCTCAAGAACTCCTACAGCTATTTCACTTAAAAAAAAAAAAAATTCTTATCTTTGCTTGGCCTCGCTGGAGTTCTGTATTGATCTAAATAGAATTAGCCCATTTCATAGATAGGAAGAAATGAGCCCCCAGAAATTACCTTCCCAAAGTTACAAAGCTAATTAGTTGTAGAGCTGGGCTTTATACCCAAGCCTTCTGAGACAAGGGAAACTCTGTCTATGCTACCCAATTAGTAGCTACTAACCACACATGACTATTTAAATTTAAATTTAACTAGGTAAAATTTAAAATCAAGTTCATCAGTTCCAGGAACGATATATCAAGTGCTCAATAGCTCCATATGGTAATATTGTCATATTGGACAGTACCGTTCTAGAACATTTATTTCTACTACTGCAGAAAGTTATATTGAATAGCACTAGATCCTTGAAGGATAAGCCCTCTCTATTTGTAAAATCTGAAACAAACTGCAAAAGCTGACTTTGGCTGATACCAAACACAGTGGAACACACTGGAAGGAGGGCAGATCTTGCCAACCCAAGGCTTGGGTTCTTGTCCTCACTGTTTACATCCTTTCAGTGGGCAAATCATTAGACCTCTCTGAACCTCAAGCTCTTTATCTGAAAATAGATTTGGAAATAACTACCAGGGTCCGTCCAATGTTCAAATGAGGCATGGTATAGTGAAGGGCTCTGTAAATTGCACCTGTACTAACAATAGTTGTTATCATTAATAACAGCAGCAGTTAAAATCATTTCTAGAGCCTATATAAGAACTCTGCTGTAAGAATTTTCAATGCATTAACTCATTTAATCCCCTCTAATGTACTTTGAGGCAGTTGCTATCAGTATCCCCATTTTACAAAGAAGGATATGTGGAGGCAGAGAGGTGATGTGATTTGTCCAAGGTCAGCTACCAAGTGGCAAAGCTAGAATATGAAGCCAGGTTCCCAAGTCTGCCCTCTTAACCATCGGGCAACTCTGTCTTTCTAAGATCTCAAAGCAGGTATTCCACAATCAATGCATTCACTCTTCCCTCTCTTTTACCCATACCACCATTTTCTTTCAGATAATACCTATATCATTCACTTTTTTTTTTGGAGACAGGGTCTTGTTCTGTTGTTCAGGCTGGACTGCAGTGGCATGATCATGGCTCACTGCAGCCTTGAACTCCCAGGACCAAGTGATCCTCCCACCTCAGCCTCCAGAATAGCTGAGACTACAGGCACATGCTAGCATGCCTGAAAAACTTTTGCATTTTTTGTAAAGACATGGTTTCACCATGTTTCCCAGGCTGGTCTCGAATTCCTGGGCTCAAGCAATCCACCTACCACAGGCTCCCAAAGTGCTAGGATTACAGTCATGAGCCACTGTGTCCAGCCTCATTCATATTTTGTATGCACACTCTAGTTACAACCTTGTCTTTTGGTCTTCCTCTATTAACATGTTTCCCTTATATGTATATATTTTTGTACATGGGTATGAGAAACAACCAGAACCTTATCAGACATGAAAACACTTGACATCCAAACAAGAAGCAGGCCTGTTCATCCTACAATATTATGCAAAGTAGCAATCAGCAAACAGATCCTGCTTGAGAAAACCTGACAACCCAAGTTAGTAAAATCACTTTCCAAAGTATTTTCAATCTAATAAGTAATTTCAGACATCATTGGTTCTCCCAATCAATGGCCATTTCTATAATAGACGAAAGGAACTGAAAAAATTAAAAAAAATCAGGGACAGGACTCTGGAGAGCATCCCAGCACCCTCCCTCTTCTTGTTAACATTTATCTGTCCTGTAACAATGGCAGGCACAGTGCTAGCCAATGCTTTTACTCAACCAATGTCTTCCTTCCTAGCATCTCTTGGTAGTCAGAAGCTGGAGCAAAGGGTCGCCCACCCACCTAGAAAACAGGAGCTTCAGCATAGGCTATAAAGCAACTGCCAGCCTCGAGAATGGGATTCTGAACCTGGGGTCCTTGCACAGAATCAGGGGTCCATAAACCGGGATGAGAAAAAAAAATGACATCTTAATATTTATGAGCCTCTATTTGAAATTCATCTGTTCCTTCAATTATAAACGTCAGCAACAAACCATTTAGCAGTTCCTATGACTTGGCCGCAAATAGAAATCATAGGTACTTTCAAATCTCATTAAAGTTTATCAGCAAGACCTCAAAATGTGTGTCCATCAACAACCTCATAATTATATGTAGTTAACAGGCTTGCTTGAAGATCATGTTGTTAAATGAATACAGAAGCACACATATTCTATATCATAAAATGTTTTAATGTTTTGATCACTACATTTCCATATAATGGCTTCCTTTGAAAGCCAGTGAATTTTGTTTAATGTGGGTTTTTTAAACTTTCATTTTAGGTTCAGAGGTGTATGCACAGGTTTGTTATATAAGTGGATTGTGTGTCACAGGGGTTTGATGTACAGATTATTTCATCACCCTGTTTTATGTGTTTTTAAAACATTATTATGAGACAGGATCCACTGGCTTCATCAAACTCCCAAAGGGACCGATGGCACAGAAAAGGTTCAGGACTCTCCATCCTCAGAGGTGACAAAACTATACCTTTGATGCGCAATATCACAGCTGCCTCCTCCCTCTTTCCTCCTTTCCATCCCATGTGAGCCTAACCTATAACCCATTAATCCTTCCAGAAGTTGGAAAGAAAACTGACAGATGATGCAATGACTTCTGTATAAGGCATACACCAGTCACAAAAGCACCAGAAAACTGTTGCAGAATGGTTTTTAGAAAGTTAAAAAAAAAAAAAAAACAATTTGCCATGTATAGAAAGCTCCATCGTTTCAAGTGCCTCTTGCAACCACTATCCTATAATGTATTCCAACTTGCTACTGTAGAAATGGCCTCATTATCCCCACAGAGGTCCTTCAGAAAGCCTATTTCAAAGCAAGCACCTCTGAAAGTTAGCCCACAATCTAAAAGCCTGTGCTATAAATACACATGCCCTGGGAAAGCAACAGCAAGCTTGATTCCATGATTGCATCTTTAAGAAGGAAACCGGGAGAGCCATAGGCTAGCGAGTTGCTCAGTAAACAGCTGTGAGAAAAAGGAGATGACGTTTCTAAGATATTTAGGATGACAGGTGTCAGAAGTCCACAGACAAAGAGATCTTTGTCATTATGAAAGATAAAATGCGTAAGCAGGCAAATAATAGTAAAGAGGTTCATAAAAGTTTCCCAATTTATATTGCAAGTGTCTACGCAGGCTATGACAAAGGACAGGCAACAATGAAGTGAAATTATCAATATGAATGGGGTCTTAGGGTAGGTTTTCCCCAAAGCAGAGCCTGGGACAAGGACTTAACAGAAGAATGCATGATCAAGACTGCTGATATGAGCAACGGAAGCTGGATGCCACCAGGGGCTCCCAAGAAGCATAGAGATGCTCCCAGAATCATCCACCGAAGGACAGGAGGTGAGGCCATTTATTTATCAACTCCTCACTTCTGCTGACTCAGGGGCATTAACTTCCAGGTTAATGGCAGTTAACTCATGGGCTACTTTTGCTGGTCCACCAGTGCCCTGGGGAATGCCCAGTGAGGAAGGTGGCAAGAGAATTGGTGAATGCTAGGGATGGGAACTGGCCTTGCAGCTGTGGCCAAAATCAGTGGAGGCTGAGGAGATGTAACATGAGGTAACACAGGTGGCTGCTACCCATAACCAAATGCGGAATGTAAGCTTTTTTTCCTCTATAGCAGCTCCCCCTGCATTACATTTTAAAATCCATCCACTCTCCAAACATTTTTGAGCCCCAACTATGTGCTACACACTACCTCCAGACACTGGGACAGCACAATGACCAAGCCAGGCAAGATTTCTGCCTTTTTTTTTTTTTTTTTTTTTTTGTGAGACAGTCTTGCTCTGTCGCCAGGCTAGAGTGCAAGTGGTGCGATCTCGGCTCACTGCAACCTCCGCCTCCCGCCTCCTGCCTCCCAGGTTAAAGCAATTCTCCTGCCTCAGCTTCCCAAGTAGTTGGAACTACTGGCGCTTGCCACTACACCTAGCTAAGTTTTTGTATTTTAGTAGAGATGGGGTTTCACCACGTTGGCCAGGATGGTATCGATCTCCTGACCTCATGATCCGTCCGCCTCGGCCTCCCAAAGTATTTGGATTACAGGTGTGAGCCACTGCGCCCGGCCGGTCTCTGCTTTCATACTCCTTAAATTCATAAAAAATTAATATGTCAGATACTGACTTTAAAATTAGATCAAAGAAAGAGTGATGAGGAAAGGGAAACACACAGAGAAGATAATTTAGCAAGGGGAGTCAGGGATTGTCATTTTCAGTTGGAGCCTAAATGACAAGGAGGAGACAGACCAGGGACATGTGGAAGAAAAGCATTTAAGCAGTGGGAACAGCATGTTCAAAGGCCCTGAGGTGTAAAGATCACTAGTCAGTGCGATCTCCCACAAGGTAGGGAGAAGGGAACATCTGTTATAATCAGGAGTTCTCATTGGTCAGGGGGTAAACGTACCATGGAAATTTATTTTCAGATGGTGATAAGATCTGTACAAGAAACAGGGTCCTCTCCTGGAGCAGGCTTCCAAGCAAGCCAAAGCTTTTGTTGCTTTCTTTGTTTCTTGCTAAACTGCCATCCACGGATCACTGAACGTGAAGTTTCACTGTGTTAACTGGGCCTAAACCGAAGTGAAAATCCCAAACTGCCTGAGTCCCAGGGCATTTGGGAAAGGTAAAAGCAAAAGTAAACAATAAAGTAAATTCCCATCTGAGGAAGAAAAGGAGCAAGTGGGAATGCATAGACATGAAGTGAAATAATGTTGTATGTACACAGCAGGTCAGATGTGGAAGTAGGATGTGGAGTAGACATTCTTCAAAGGAACAAGTGTCGTTCCTCAAAATGGCAAAGCTGGCACTGCCTCTCTGTCTCTTGTTCATGTCCTGGGCGATGATACATTGATTGGCATAACAGAAAATCAGGTATTGATTACACATGTCCCTCCCTGGGCATTAGAATTGAAGACCTTGCCAGTTGACTGCTTTTTACTTTCAATTATTCGGGGTCTTTTACTCTTGAGGGACTCAGTATGCAAATAATAATAGCTACTATGAGACAGCTTTTATTTAGCACTAACGATGTACCAAATACTATGTTGAAAACTTGTTTACATTAGTTCATTTGAATCTTGCAACAGCCTTCTGAGACAGGGACTCCCTAAGAGACAGAAAGGTTAATAATTTGGGAAAGGTTGCAAAACTGATAGGTAGGTAAGCTGGGATTTAAACCTGTGAGGGTCTGGCTCCAGAGTCCTTCTCTTATCAACAGCTCTAGGACTTTGTTAAATCAGTGTCAACCAGAGAGTGGACTTTCCAAGGCGCTGGTGTTTTAAAGGTGCTGCCTTTAAAACTTGCCTGTATGTAGACAGCACCCTTTATCTTGTACAGAACTCACTGTCATCTGGGCCAGGCATGGTGGCTCACTCCTGTAATCTCAGCACTTTGGGAGGCCGAGGCGGGTGGATCACCTGAGTGTGGGAGTTTGAGAGCAGCCTGGGCAACATGGAGAAACCCTATCTCTTCCAAAAATACAAAATATTAGCTGGGCATGGTGGCGCATACCTGTGGTCTCAGTTACTTGGGAGGCCGACGTGGGAAGATCACTTGAGCCCGGGAGGTGGAGGCTGCAGTGAGCCAAGATTGCACCACTGCACTGCAACCTGGGTGATAAAAGTGAGAGCCCGTCTCAAAAAAAAAAAAAAAAAAAAAAAAAGCCAGGGGTGGAAGGGGAGAAAGAACTCATTGCTGTCTAAAAACCAGTTTCCATGGTACATTACACCCATCATGAAAAGGTTTCAATAACGTGATTTTAGCCAAGAGGGAGGGAAGCAAAAAAGCAAGGGAGAGAAGATTTGGAGAAATTGATTCTCTGCTAATATCCAAAGTAGCCACAGAAATTAATGCTTGTTGTCCAAAGAGAAGGTGGAGGCAAAGATATGCACCAACTGTCATTCTCAGTAGAATAGCTTTGTTTCTAGCCAGCTCTTTAAAGTCCCCTGCTTTGGAGAATGCCTGGATCCTCATATGAAAACTCTTCAGCTGCTGATACAAGTGTCAGGAAGGCAAAAGGCTAGAATGAGCTGAACCCGGCAGAAAATGCAAAGAGCTACAAAAGGGCTATTTTTGTTATGCTCAGGGCAAGGAGAACAACAAGACGACATAGGTCTGACGCCTGGAGAGGGTGTTGTGATACTAACAGTGACAGCAAGTGCAGTTACTCAGCCTCCAGTCTGCATCTGTGTTCCCTCAAGATAGAGGAGATGCTTTCCATACAGGGGAGAGGGGACACTGTTTCAGGGAAGTGAGATCCAAAATAAGGTACCACGATTGTCAGAGTGCCTGCCCTCTCTAAATAAGTCTGAGGCTCCTGGCCCTGATGAATTAAAGCCCAGGCTACTCATGGCATGAAGTCTGAAGTAGCCACAACATCGATGGTAAACTCTAAAGAATCCAGGAGAATAGGAGATGTACCAGCGAATAAAAAGGAATAAAAATACAAGTTGTGCCAATCACATATCAGTAAGCATCATGCCAATCCCAGACAGACTGCTGTAATGCATTATTAACAAGGGGGACAGGGTGAACACTCAATGCAGCAACGATTACTTGGAATCAGCATGGATTCGCTAAAAATAATTCATACCAGTCAATGCTCATTCCATTTTTTCATACTCACTGAAGCTGGTGATCAAGAGATTACTATGGTTATAAAATCTGGAATTCAGCAAGGCATTCTGACTAGGTTTTTCATATAACTGACTCCAATGCAAAAATATTTTAAAATGTAGGCTGGACGTAATGAAAATAGGTAGACTAAATAACGCTCTAAAAGTACTGATTAACCATATCTACATCAATTTAGAATGTCCCTCTTAGAGACTCCCTAAGAGACACAGAGGTTAACATTTTGGGAAAGGTTACAAAGCTGATAAGTAGGGAAGCTGGGATTTAAACCTGTGAGGGTCTGCCTCCAGAGTCCTTCTCTTAACAACAGCTCTAGGGCTTTGTTAAATCAGCCCTAATCTCTAGTGGGAAGCCACGAGGCTCTATCCAGAGCCTGTCCTATTCACGTTCTTATCAACAACTCAGATGGCGATATTGCCATCATTCCACTAAATTTGGGAATGACCTGAAGCTAAGAAGGGAAACAGCCACTCTAAAAAATCAGAAGCAAAAGTGAAAAAAAAAAAAATATCCATCAAGGTGCCCAATTCACAGAAAGTAAGATGGAATTCTCCAGAGGTAAATGCAAAACATTAAGCATGAGTTTAAAACTATAAGTGGACAAACAGTGGAGAGAAGAAACACTGCTCTCCGCATGGAAAAGGACTGCACATAGAATGTCTTGATGGTAAATTCAAGATGAGTAAGTCATACAATATGGTTGGTAAAAACATTCATCTTATGTTTCATTAACAAAAGTATACTACTCAAAAGTACAGAAGGGCTAGTTCAGTTATACTCCGAAGTAGCTAGACCAGAATCAACAATATCCTATTTTTCAGTTCCATTTAATAAGCATGACAACGATCCAGGGTTCATTCAGCATCCATGGCCCAGATGGTCAAAAAGCCAGACCAGCCCCATCTGACAGCGCTTCCCACCACAATGAAACATTCTCTATCTCCAATGCAGTAGTCACTACCCACATGTAGCTACTGAGCTCCTGATATGTAACTACTGTAGCTGAGGAACTGAATTTTTAGTTTTGTTTAATTCTAATTCATTTAAATTTATGTATCTGCTTGTAGCTTGGGGCTACCAAGTCGGGCTGCACAGCTCTAGACAACGCCATATGCCAAATGGTGGAAGTAACTCAAAGGATGGCAAACCCCCCAAAAAAAAAAGGGATTTGGGGACAAAATGACAACAGAATTTAGTATCTGAAGTTCTGTCTTGTGGAAGAGGAATTAGAAATACTGTTTGCAACCCACCGGGCAGAATTAGGACTTAGAGAAATTACAGTAAGAGAATATCCATGGCGCTGAAGAAGTAACAGCTTAACAGTTACAACAATATCAATTCTATGAGGGCAGGACCTGTCGTCACCATACTCACCACCTAGCACCTAACACAGTGCCTGGCACCAAGTAGTCCCTCAGTAAATATATCTACTGAATGAGTGAATGGCTCAATCAACCCATGAAATAGGAAACTGTCCAAATGGAACATAAACACCTCAAAAGACTATGAATTCCCCGCCTCCCCAATCTGGAGGAGCCCCAAGGAGCTGGCTGACAACTTGCTAGGGATACTATGGAAGATCCAGGCTCCACCAAAAGGTAGCTGGACTAAATGGCCTTTAAGTGCTTTCCAGATCTGCTAAAAGCCTTTTGCCTCTACTATCAGATGGGACTGGGTTCAAATCCTGACACGTAATTCACATGACTGTGTTACTTATCTAATGCTGCATAATGGATTATATGCACTTAGTGACTTCAAGTAATATACATTTGTTATCTCACAGTTTCTTTGGGTCGGAAGCCTGCGTGTGGCTTATCTAGATGCTTTGTTTAGGGTCTCAAGAAGCTGCACTCAAGGCACTGGGAAGGCCTGCTTTCTCACCTGGAGGCTTGGGGGAGGAAGACTTCCATACTCACAGGGTTGTTGGCAGTATTCAGTCCTTCATCCTTGTGACTGTAGGACTGAGAGCTTCAGGGGTTTTTGCTGGCTCTAAGCCAGAGGTTAAGCTGTTCCTAAAGGTCACCTGCAGTCCTTTACCACATGGGCATCCCCAACACACACATTCACTTCTTCAAGCCATCATAGAGTCTCTAGAGCTAGGCAGCTAGCAAGGCAGAGTTTTATATAACATAATCATAGAAGTGACATCCTATCACCTTTGCTGTATTCTATTGGTTAGAAGCAAGTCAGGTTCCACCCATCTCAAGGGGAGGTGATTATACAAATGTGAGAACACTCAGATGTGGGGATCATAGGGGCCCACCCTGGTATCTGTCTGTGACAGTGACCTTAGCAAGTCACTTAACACACTCCAGCTTCTCATCTATAAAAATGAGGCAACTAATAGTACAGTGGAATCATGATAGGCACCCTAAATATGCAAACTCACTTTAGGATGTAACCAGAGTCAGGTCTGTCTCCTCAATGGCATTGAAACCTCACAACAACAAATATAGTAAGATAGATTTAGGTTAAAGAGGCTTAAGATTAAAAGAGAAGCGAGCCAACCCTTTAAGCCAGAGATATACTTAAGAATTCTCAAGCCATCATCCACTCTATAGAACTTTGATAGAAGCAGAATTCATTCAACATTCATTTATTCAACAAATTTGAATGCCCAGACTTCTGCACGTAGACATTCCTTTTGTTCCTTCCTGTGGACTAGCTCAGCAATTCTCAAACTTTAGGGCTAAGAATTGTTCTGCAGGGTTGTACACAAAAATATTTTATGGGATTTTGCAGGGAGTTATTCTGACTATATACGATTTTTCTTTGCATAGTTCAGCACCAAATCTCATGTGCAATCAGATTCCATTGTACCAACCTCATAGGTTTGTTCTAATAAAACATCAATAAAAGGTTAACACAATGCTTGGTACTTAATTAAGTGCTTGATAAATATCAACTCTTACCTCCTATTAAACTACAAAGCATGTAAAAAAGATATGATAGATTTTGCCTGAAATATTAGTTCATTTTAATTTTGCATTCTCCAAAAGAGGGTCAAACTTTGAATTTTTCTCTTCTGCTGAATTTACATTTCAATAACTGTAGCCCCAAAACATGTTAAGGGCACGGTTCACATTCAAACAGCTCGCTGCTGAAAGCAAAGACACTGCTGACGTTTGGGAGGAGAGCAATTATGCCAAGCCAATCGATAAAATGAACTGTAAAGATGAATCCTCCATGATCCATTTTTTTCCTATAAAAGACTGCATTTGGAGACTTAACAGCTTTCCCCCATGTTTCTATCATCTTCTCGTAAGGCAAAGACAAAACATCAACCACAGAAAGGTGCTGTCCAATTAGAATCAAATGTTCTTTTCCAAGAGATTTACATTCCCTGTGTATTTTGATGGAAAAGACACTAACAAAGACTTATGTGTCAAGCACTGTGCTCAACAAGGTCCCATGCTAGCTCATTTACACCTCACACACCCCAGGTGATGGGTATGATCAACTCAGATAGAGAAACAGAAGCTGTGAGAGAGGTTAAATGATTTGCTCAAGGCCACACAAATCGCCCAAACCAATCATTTGTTCAAAAAATATTTGAGTCTTCTATGGGCTGGACACCACCAGCCACTGCATGGCTTATACCTAAATCGGAGAACAAATCAGGAAGGGAGACACAAAAATACAAGTTCACCTGTAACCATGAGTTAGCAGGGAGGGGATAAGGAGGGAAAACTGCTTAATTTAAGTCGGTATGTCAGAAACGGTCAAACAGAAATAAAATGCCACAAACCTTCCTAGGAAGGGTGTGCATACGTTTGGGTGTGCGTCAGCCAGTGGGGCTGCCAGGGCTCAAAGCTCTTATTAGTGGTAATACGTTTCCGACCCACACGGAGGGCTCTAGTGCCCAGATCATCAGCCCAAGCGCTGGGAAATCATTTCAATTCTCCACACCTCACCTCCGAAGCATCACTCCCCTCATAAGCCCCCTTGGATCAATGCTTCATCCTCTGCATTCCAGTGAATCACTGATCCTTCTCCATTCTTTGGGTCCGAGCTCACAGAATATTTCCTGTACTTTCGTTCTGTTTTTCACCTGACACCACCCCGCAACTCACTGGGAGAGTCAGTCTGTTATTTTCCCCATTGTCTGTATCCCACGAAAGAGGAGCCCACTCCTAAAGGGGAATATGAGCCAGTTTTGCTTTTCTACACCTGCCGGGGCCCCTTTAATCATGAAACCACAGGGAAGACCTGAAAACCAAAATCCCCCTTCCACTTTTACCAGTCTCATCTAATCTGGGTCTTTTTATTTGCTTGCAGAATAGTACATCAAAAGAAAGATTGGGGAGAAGGGGGAAATAGCCATGATTAAAAGACTGCTGCAACTCAAGGACAGAACCAAAATGTTAGATGCCTGACTTCACTACTGGCCGCTAATTAAATGCAAAACAGGAACATTAATTTGAAATGGGATGAGCCACACTATATTGGGTTTTTATTTTTTGCTGCAAAATGAGCCGCCCCTTGGCTCCCTCCCCGATCCTGCCGTGTTTTCGCAGTGTTGGGGACCAGATGAGCGAGCGAGCGGCATGCCGTTAATCAAGTCTTACTCATCTGTGTGTGCCGCTGCATTCAAAGAGAATTAATAACGGGCTTAGCTGAAAACCGGGAGGACCAAGGTGCTGCTGGCTCCTGTTCAAGTGCTCCCAGATTCATGGCTGTTCTTTTAAGCCCCAAGAGATCAAACTCAGTTTTACTTCTGTGATAGCTTGAAAATTGCAAAGCCCCAAGAATACCCTCTCTGGGGCTTCAGAAAACCACTGGAGAGCAACAAAGTCAAAAGGAAAAAACTGAGTTTTCTAGTATTTTCCTCTAGGTGGATGTTAATAAAAAGTAAGATATAGATTTTACTCTAAGGCTCAAGGTATTTACCCAGGTTCCTGAATAGAGCATGGCTGCTGGAAGAAGTGTTACTGAAGGTGATGTGGGGGTAGGAATTCTGCCCCAAAATATTTCCCCAACTGGGTTATACTATTAGAGATCAATTCTTTGGGGTTCTTTAGGAAATGCCTGTCCTAGAGGAATTAACACGAAAAGACTTTCAGCTGCTAATTCATTTAAACTGCCCTAATTACTTATATGAATAACCACCAAAATAAATAATGAATGCAATGGCTGCTTCTACCTAATGAAAACTTCCTGTGTCAAAACACTGTGCTGTGTGCTGTACATGCATCTTCCATCTAATCCTCACCTGTTATTTTCTTCCTTTTACAGAGGATACCTGAAAGAGCTAACATTTTTTTGCCCAGGGTTGCACAGATAGGACTCAAGCCAAGATTTAAATCCAGGAGAGTGACTCCAGAGCCAGTTTTCTAAAGGCCACCCAGTTCCACCTCCTTGTATACCCGGTGGCTGGGCGGAGTTGCAAAATAAAGCTGGCCATCAGGGAACAGAAAGGAGGGCATGGAGGAGGTGGTACCGCCAGCTAGGGCAGCAAAGTGCCCAAGAAGAAGCGGAAAGATGTGATGGAAGGGGCAGGGAAAGGCTGCCAAAGACAAAATGTGTTTTATTTAGCAGAATGGTTAAAAGCAGAGCCTTTCAAGCTGGACCACCTGGGTTCCAATGGCAGTTCAAGTCGTGAGCTGCTGGTATTCAATTTACAGTGCTGTTTGTTCCTTGCTTGCCTTCTCTCCAGCATGCAAGTCCTACAGAATGAGAACCATTTGGAGAAATTATCTGTTACTAATCTGATCAATGTCTGAAAGACAGTCTCAATTAGAGACAGAGAGAGAAAGAAATTCGAGCTCTAGAACTCACTAGGTGTGACCCTGGCAAAATACCTCATCATTCTATACCTCAGTTTCCTCACCTATAAAATGAAGACAATAATCCTACCCAACCCAATTAAGTGTGTTAATACATCTAAAGGATTTTAAATAGTGCTTGGCATAAAATAAGTGCTATATGTGTGGTAGCTATGTTTTCTTTTAATTATCAATTCTGGCAAGAAGTAGTCCTGACTCCAACAGTCTGAAAAAAACAAGGAAGTGCAACAAAAATGAGTGCTTACATCTGCCAAAAACATGTATGAGAATGTTCACAGAAGCTTTATTTCCCTAGCCAAAACCTAGGTGAAAAAAATAGATGTTCAACACTAGAATAAAGTAGCCTATTCTTACAACGAAATACTATGCAACAATGAAGAAGAACTACTGTTACAGGTAACAGCAGACATAGAGTTGGGCAAAAAACTTAGGGAACAATATAAACTATATATTTCCATTTATAAGAAGCTGTCAAAGAGAAAAAAGTAAGTTCTACTGGTAGTGGTGTGTATGACTAGGAGGGTTACAAAGGACCAATCTGGGTGCTGGAAATTCTGCATGCTATGTGAGTTGTGGTTTCATGACTATGTACCTATGTGAACATTCACTAAGCTCTAGTAATTAAGATTTGGACACTTTATTGTAAATTGCACCTCAAGTTTTTTAATTAGCAAAAGGTATTAAATCAGTATATGTGATGTGACCTTATGTGTAAAGTTAGTAACTAAGAGTTTTAAAGTTTATTTAAATTGTGATGCATTCGTGATGCACTTCATCAATTAAGCTACAACATCAAACTCGTTATTAAGATGAGACCAAATATGTCTACTTCAATTAGCATATTTAATAAATAATGTAGTAAAAAAACCATGGAAGCGGTGTGCAAATTAGTGACGTTTGGACTTCACTAGACTATGGAGAAGTGGGCACACAGTCCTTTATTCCAGCAGGGATCAACAAACTTTGTCCATGGGCCAAATCCAGCCCACTGCATGGTTTTGTACACCCTGTAAACTGAGAATCGTGTTGACCTTCCCAAATGGTTGGGGGAAAAAAAGAATAGTATTTATTGATACATGAAAGTTAAATAAAATTCATATTTCAGTATTCATAAAATGTATTAGAACATGGTCATGCAACATTCGTTTACATACCATCGCAGGCTTTTTCCCACTATAACAGTAGCTATAACAGAGTTCATGGGGCCACAAAGTATAAATATTTACTACATAGCCATTTATAGAAAAAGTTTGTCAATCCCTGCTGCTCAAGTGGATACCTTTCATCATTGTCAGTGATGCGGTCCCATGAAGTCACCTCCCTGTTCTAATTCTTTCGTACTAAGAGGCTATTCTCAAATACCCACCATGATTAATTCCTTGGCTCCAAATTCTGAAGCCCAGTGAGTGTCTAAGCTCTGAGTTCTTAGGACAAGCTCTGGCCCAATGGCAACTAGAACACTATTACAAGATCTTTGCCAAAAAAGACAATACAATTACAAACTATCACAAGCAAACATTATGAGTTAGTCTCTTGTACCACATTGAAAAAGTGTCCTTTTTTTCTGGAATTTTTACTGTGCTCTCAAGTTAGTTCTTGCTTTAAAACCAACCAACTGTAGAGTCCTCTTCTATGTTTTCAAGTCATTACTGCATCTTTAAAGTAGAAACATTTAGGGTCATTGTTGGACATGTACAGACAGAAAATAATTGGGCTGCTAATTAGGTGATAAGAAAATTTAACTCTCAAAATGGTGATGGAAGATGAATTTTCCCACCTCTGAACTTTCAATAGGCTTCAGAATTTGGAGCCAAGAAGTTAATCATGGTGGGTATTTGACAATAGCCTCTTAGTAAGAAAGAATTAGAACAGGGAGGTGACTTTATGGGACTGCATTTTTTCCTCCACATGGGAATATCCTTCCTCCTGTCTCCATTGTAGCTAAATCTCCCTAACTAAACTGATAGTTCACTGAATATGAAATCCATATTAGAATTAATAATCATACCCAGCCCACCACTTTGTGCAAAATGGGCACTTAAGATACATATGAAGTGAAGAAAAATTTATAAGAGAAATTTCTATCTCCATTCAATAAATATGGAATTGACCAAGATATGCTGAATTTATCTGCTCATCTCCTTAGACTTTAAGTGACTATTTTTCTATCTGCAAAGGCAATAACTATTTTTGACAGACAAGTTCAAAACCTACCAGTGTGAATGTGTACTTTTGGAAATAGGGTAAATACCTTACAATTGTGAGAAATTCTTTCTTGTGGAATGCTGTTTAAGAAATGTTGTGAGGTTCCCACTGACTCCATCTAATGTTAATCATTTATGAAATACTGTGGTTCAGAGCTCAGCAAGTGAAGTCATTTCAGGCAGTAAATATACGTTTCCTGTCAAAACATATCAAACGGATAAGACTTCAATTTATTTGAGAATAAGTTGTAACTCACTTCAATATTGGCAATTTGGAGGATTCTCTGATGGCTTTTAATAGCCTTGACAGTTTTCTTCTTCTTGCCCCCAAACCACTGAGTATCTCTCCATTTGATCCTTCCCAGAAATGGCCCTCAGTATCTGTCTTCGTAGTATCCATCCCTCCAATTCCAAATCCGTTGTGTGGTTTCCTTTCCCATCACTCGGATTTTACAGAACTCAAGTTAGATCTACATGTAACTCGAAGTATTCTGGATTTACAGATTATTACCTCATTAAAACTAGGTCCCAACTTCATTTATGACTGCATTCTGCCTGTATCATTTCACCCCACATGTAACAATGCCCTAGAAAATAAAAGCTTTGATACAAAAATGTTGTTCTTTTTGCAAAAATTAAGCCTAGTGGTAGAACGGTCAAGGCAGGTACTTCAGCACCACAGAATCACCAGGGCCTCAGGCAGCTTCTGTCTTTCTGTTCTGCCTTTTTCCCTTCTGCCTCTTATCCTCAAGGTCACTTCATAGCCCAAAATAGCTGTTGGAGAACCAACTATTACATCACATTCCAGGACTTAGAAAGGAGGAAGATCCAGAAAGGGCTCTACCCCTGGATTTTAGAAGACTCACTAGAAATAACCACCCAAAACTTCTACATATATCTCCTATGGCTACCCTGGTGAAAGAGAGTCTGTAAAACATAGTCCTGATTCTGTACAGCTTGTGTCTTACTAGAAATCAGGGTTCCAATTACTAAGGTAGGGGGAAGAATAGATGTGACGTACGTAGCTAGCATCTCTTCCACCCTGTATTGCATATATCCATTTTGTATAGATGGACCACCAACAATTAAATAATTGAAAGAAATGTAGAAATGTCTCCAGCATGGGCCCTTTCATCACCTAAGGGAAACTTCCAGAAGATTCCACCCCAACCTCTTGGAGGGCAACTTTCACCCCTAGTGAGGAAACACTGATGTACTTCTCAGATTGGACATGGGGGTGTATTGCATATTTCCTCATCAGGTTAATGTAATGACAGATTTCAGATATAAACAGCACCTCAACTGCACTTACTATGAGACTGTGGTGGTTCTACAGTTTGAGTTTTTAGGGCTTTAAAATCTCACAGGTGTTTCTACATCATCCAAGCTCAAAGCAGAATCAGAGACCTCCCCCCCTGTGTGTCAGTGTGGAACAGACTGAAAGTTCCCAGGAACGACCGGGCATGGTGGCTCACACCTGTAATCCCAGCACTTTGGGAGGCCGAGGCAGGCAGATCACGAGGTCAGGAGCTCGAGACCAGCCTGACCAATATGGTGAAACCCCATCTCTACTACAAATACAAAAAATTAGCCGGGCGTGGTGGCACATTCCTGTAATCCCAGCTACTCGGGAGGCTGAGGCAGGAGAATCACTTGAACTCGAGAGGCAGAGGTTGCAGTGAGCTGAGATCGCGCCACTGCACTCCAGCCTGGACGACAGAGCGAGACTCTGTCTCAAAAAAAAAAAAAAAAAAAAGAAAGTTCCCAGGAACAATGGTATTTACCTAGAACCAAGTGGGAAGGTAGAAACCTAAGCTCTGAATTCAACACTTCTGAGTTTTCACTCTGACACCCAGTTTGTGGACGATCAGGACAAGTTGGTAGATGGCAACGTGGCTTCTGGCAGATCTTTAGGAGTAATGATAATGTGCGTTTATACAATGAGCTGTAGTTTTCGAAGCATTTTCACATAGTCATCAATTGGAAACTCCCATCAGTACTTTATAGCAGGCCAGATCTTTGTAGCTTTGAGTAGGTTAGGGATTTATTGCTTAAGGTTTTCTCTCATGAGACAACATTTGAGACTTAAATAATGAGAGGAAGCCAGACACACATACACACACACACACACACACACAAACACATTTCACATTCCAGGGAAAGGAAATCAGGTACAGAGCCACCGAACAAGGAAGGAACACATTCACTGTATGGTAAGAAATGAGAGATGGTCAGTGTGGTTACCTCAGAGGAAGGGGGAGAGGTCGCAAATGACACTGGAGAAAAAATCAGCGCACTGTCAACCGTCATCCTCTGACCCTACTTCTAATGTAACTTTTGCTTGTCCTACCTCCAGATAGATTTTCAACATGGGAATCTTATCCATCTTCTGCCTCTGTCATCCTCACTCAATCTACTTCTAAAAATGTCTTTCAAGAAACGAAAAAGAAGCTCTTGTTTTCATTGCAAGCTATGTCTAATTTTAAAATATATACAAAATTCCTAAATTATAAAACTTCATTTGATTTTTATTTGCTCGAGACAGGGTCTTGCTCTGTCACCCAAGCGGGAATGCACTGGTGCAATCACGGGTCACTGCAGCCTTGACCTCCTTGGTTCAAGCAATCCCCCCATCTCAGCCACCTAAGTAGCTGGCACTACATGCATGCATCTAACCATGCCTGCTTAATTTTTGTATTTTTTTGTACAGACATGGTTTCACCATGTTGCCCAGATTGGTCTCGAACTTCTGGGCTCAAGAAATCTGCCCACTTTGGCCTCCCAAAGTGCTGGGATCACAGGTGTGAGCCACCATGCCCAGCCTCTTCCATTTGCTTTAAAACCAGATTTTTATAAACTTTCTGTAACCAGCACTTTCAAATTGCAATTCACTTTGTTTTTTAAAAATACCATATACACAGACATATACAGCATCCTATTTCCTGTATACCAAGAGTAAACCTTCAAAATATCCCTCTGTAAGAACGAAATTCCAAACCCCTGCCATAGGATTCACACTTAGTAGGCCTTCAATTCTGTCACCTTCCCTGCAGCTTCCCAAGTCCACTGCTTCAACCAGTTAGGAAAAACAATTTTTAAAAAACATCTTGGCATCCATCAACCAGCATTTTCAAGGGCAAGAAAACAGCAGCGCCCAAGGAGCTGTCTGAGGTGCTTAAGGTTAATGGCTGTATTTACATAGCCATCAATTCACTTTACAAAGAACTGCCCCAGTAGGACTGTGCAGCTCCAGCAGGCAGCCCCCGTCAGGACAGAGCAGACAGGAGTCTCTAAACAAGGAGGAAAATGCCTGATAAATCTTAATGACATCGTCTTGTTTTCATTCACTTACTTATCACCTTATTTTCAGCTCAAGAGTCTCGAGCCCCTGATCGAACAAAATAGACTACACTTCCATTTCTCCATGAGTCACTCTCTAAAACTTTTTGGGACTGTAGTAAATTACAATGGCCTTACCTTTTATGATGATGCATACCTTGCACCAGCGCTGTCCGATCGGGCAGCCACTACACATACATGGCTATTTAAGTTTAAAGCTAAATTAATTAAAATTAAAGAAAATTTAAAATTTGCTTCTTGAGTCACATTAACCACATTTCAAGTACTCAAAAGTGACATGTTGCTTAGTGGCTCTCACGGTGAACAGCAAGAAGTTTGGAACATTTCCACCATCACAGGGAAGTTCTATTGAAACATACAGGAATTTGTAAGATTCTACTTACAGATTTTATTGATAATGTCTAGGACTTGACCTGTTCTGGAGTTAACATATCTGAATTCCAAGAGAACATAATGATAAGAGACTTTCTGCAGTCCCCACGTTTTCCAGACACATTCCCAAGCCACTAGTGCATTGGTGTTTTTAATGCTCTAAAACACACCCTCTGACCAGGCAATTACACTTCTACCCTAGAAAAATGCAAACACATGGGTACCAAGAGATTGTAATTATGAGAAGGCTTTAAACAGTAAACACCACATCTCAGTTAACACCATATATGACTTTGTTCAAGAATGGTATCATCATACTCTCTGTAGTAGAAAAAACTGGGAAAAATCTGAATGCCCATCTGTAGGGAAACAGCTAAATAAAATACAGTACATTCATAGTGGAACACTATATGGTAGTTAAAGGAATGAGTGAGACCTGTGTATGTATAAACGTGGATAATCTCCAAGACACCAGTAAGCAAAAAAATACAAACTATAGAATCAGATGTATAAAATGACACTACTTAAGTGAAAAAATTCACACACAAGACTGTATATTTAGTAACCATACATAACTAACATAAATAGCAAAGTTTAATATATTTTGATATTTTCACATTATACTTTTTAAATAAAGTTAAATGCCAAATATGCTTCCTATTTCTGTTGATTAGTTGGCATTGATACAAATCAACTTCAAATGATAAGAGAGAATCTACCAGGTCTTCATCAGTCCATTCTTCCTGCTCATGTTTGGATTTCTTTGAAACATAATGTATACTAAATATTTTAAATATGCGCAGAAGCCCAAACTCTTCATAGTATCTGAGAAGGGAGAGATAGAAATGGGTTGTAGAGAGAGTTAGAAGTGATTTTTACTTTTTCTCTAATTTTTTTTTTTTTTTTTTTTTTTACAACTTGTGTATTCCCTGCAGGAGTTCTACAAAGTCACTGTGACCCTGTATTATGACCAGTGGCACCACTATCCCCTACAATGCAGCCTAAGTGGCTGTAATAACACTAAGCAGCCATTCCCAGCCAGCAGACAGTACCACCCACACATGCCATGTTCTACAGTAAATCAAAGACTATGGTTTTCTAAAAGCAGATATTGTTCTTAAAAAAATTAGGACAATTTTGTTGTTTGGATGCTTCTGCTGTTTAGTCTTCCATAGAAGCCATCTCCAGCAGGGCCTTCGTCTGCCACTCAACTTGGAAACCTCATCTTCTAACTGTCTGGGGTTGAGTGCTGGGGGGACAAAGGCCAAAAGGGTCGGCAGCCAGGGAGGAGAACTGTAGCATCTTGACAGTTGGGCAGAGATGACCAATGTGAAAACCTGCCGAGGGGACAACAGTGACTGATGGCTCCTAAGGAAGTATTAGTACAAACCTAGTCGCACGCAACACCCTGCTGCCCGCAAGAGGGGATCACAGTTCCACAAACCAGCTATGTAATTAAAACACAGCTCTGGAGACGAAGGAGGTTAAATGACTCTGACCCAGTCCATCCGCTCTGCTTGGTGGTTGCCAATTCTAACCTTCCTGCCAACACCCACACATTTCTATAACTCAGATTATCTCCAAAATATTTCACAAACTTCCAATTTTTTTAAACAAGTGAAGAAAAAAAAGCAAGCTCTTTACATGTGTTTTCTTATTCAAAAGAGACTTCAGTTTGCAAACTTTTAATCTTTTTAGACAGTGCAAGACAAAGTGAAATCCACTGAAGGCTTTTCATTTAAGCAAATGCAGAAGATAATTTATTCCTCCAAGTGGCAGGAGAAAGCAATAAGCCAGGCATCTGTGCAAAACTTTCCATACCCCCTCAAGTCCTATAACTCTGTCTACAACTCCATCTTCTGGTCCTGACTAAATCTTCGATTATTCCCAGAACGAATGAAATCTTAAATCCACATCAGCTTTTAACATCTGCCGAGTCTTAACTATACAGGAACAAAAACGGAATTCCTGTATGTCACCTGCCGATAGGATTACAATTTAAATCAGACTCAAAAGTATATGGAAATTGAAGCCTTGTTTTTTCCTAGTCCAATGTAGACATCAGTCAGATGACGGAAGTTGGCAATAGGCTGGTTACATGCTACGTACAGCAAACCTGCCTCAACATCCATTTAAACAACTATGCAATTCTTATTTTAAAAGGCCTCAACTACAGAAAACACATCTTATGCTCTAAAAGAAACGTCAAGACATTATCAAAATCAGTTTCTCGGGCACAACACTGATCCAACGAACATTTAATTTGTACTTTTGGTTCAGTAATTTAAATCAACCTTCTGAATCATACTATTTAGACAAGCTTACCAACATATGACAAAATGAGAAACTCTCAACCTAATCAAAACAACCTTATTTTTATAAAAATCTCTGTATTAAAATTTTTAAACTCTGAAAAATGTATTGTGTAAGAAAGTGTTATACAAAGTGTGGTCCAAAGCTTGGAAGCATCGGCACCTCATGGGAGCCTCCTGGAAACAGAAATTCACAGGCCTCATCCCAGACTTATTGAATCACAAACTCTTGAGGTGAGGCCAGGGAATCTGTTTTAACAAGCCTTCCAGGTGCTCCAGCATTGGTCTAAAGGGTAATATTAGGAATGTCAAGAATACTGGAATTTGGGGACCGGTATACCAAACAAGATCGATCATGTAAAATCAATTTTTAAAATCCAACAAAGTTCAGAATTTGCAGAGGATCAAAAAAAAATTGCAATCAGCATAAACCCTATATTCATCTCCCTTCCTTCCTTACTTCTAAGTAAATGAGGATCATGAAACTTACATATGGATATAGTCAATTGCTTGTAAGTTCATGTCTATTTATGCTGTGGTTCAGAAATATTTGCACATCAAACCAGAATCTGAGTTTACACTTGGGATCCTGAGTCTTTTGTAGATGTGAAAAGAGTAAACTTGGAATCAAAATCTCTCGAAGAAACGGTTTTCTAGGAATCCTGCCATTCCTTTTTCTCAGGATGACCTTAACTTTCAGTCTTGAGGAATTTTTTCCTTTCCTGATTAATACTTCATAGGATGATTAGTATATTTTGTACATGTGTACATCAGGACAAGCTGGCTCATGACTTTTCCCCTACTACTGAGAACACCAGAGCTTGGTGCTCCATTGTAAAAGGATTAACTAACATGCTAGGCCAGTATCAATGGCAGAGCTTACTGGCACTGTCTGCTCCCCCAACTCACCCATGAGGAACATGGTTCTAACCATTGCCATTTTCCTTTAAAATAGCAAAGAAACCTGGCAAATAAACTACACACATCTGACTCAGGATTCCATGAGGCCCAGCTCTCCCACTCCCCTTCCCCATACAGGCTTATTTCTGGGTCTTTAGAATCAAATTAGAACACCCTGTCAGACACCTATTTGTGCAAACGTTAATTTCAAGTATATTTAAATGTCTTCACATCTTGCTATTGCTCATCACATCAAGCAGAGCTGCTTCTACTGTGTAATCACAATAATGAATAAACATGGGGTGCTTAAAAAGGACTGAGGCACCACAAAACTGATCAATTGTTAATTCTATAAAGTGACTAAACGTGCCTTCCTTTGTAATAACTCCATCAAGCTGTGTTTTGGGTGGGAAGGATGCCCACGTCCTCTGCCTACTGTCTCTGTAAAACAAAAATGCAATCATCAGTCAGATCCTACCTAAGGCTTATCTTAATCTTGATTATTTCCTCATATTGTCTCAACCCACCTCTCCCCCACAACTCCAACGAGAAGCAAAAATTGTCATGGCATTTAAAAAACCATGGGCTGCATGATTATCAATTGACAAAGGATTTGAGGCAGCACTAATATTAACAGCCTCAATAGCCACAGTGTGTATTTATTGCCTGTTATTATTTTGATAAAATACCAATTTCACAATGAACATCTGACCTACAGGAACTCCAGATCTCGGTGAAATTCCTTTGTGTGGCAGGAGGAGGACTGTTAGAGCTTCTCCTTAGGGTAAACACACTTGTTATTTACCTCTTCTTCCCAACCACGCCTGGGCCATATGCATGAGGAGTTTGTCCAACGTTTCTTGAGTTCAAAGAATGAATAATCTACTAAGAGTTGTGTCTCTGGACCACACTGCTTGGGTTCATACTGCGTCCTTGCCACAAACTACCAGTGTGGCTTCCACCCTGAGTGCTTCATTTTTCTAATGCAAAGAAGGGTGATGATTGATTGTGTCTACCTTGTAGGACTTCAGGAGAATTAAATCAGATAGCACAAAAATATTCTTAGTACAATAAAATGGCACAGCTACCATAGAAAAACAGCATGGTGGTTCCTCAAAAAATTAAACACAGAATTATCATCCAATCCAGCAACTCCACTTCTGGGTAGAGACTCAAAAGCACTAAAGGCAGAACTAAAAGCATCTTGAACAGATGTTTGTATACCTATGTTCATAGCAGCATGACGTGCAATAGCCAAAAGGTGGAAAAAAACAAATGTCCATTGAAGGACAAATAAAAAATAAAGTGTGGGCTATACATGCAATGGATTATTCAGCCTTAAAAAGGAAATTCTGACACATGCTACAACATGGATGAACCTTGAAGACATTATGCTAAGTGAGATAAGACAGACACAAAAGAACGAATAATGTTATGTCTCCATTTATATAAGGTACCTAGAGGAGTGAAACTCAGAGAGACAGGAAGTAGAAAGGTGGCTGTCAGGAACTAGAAGGGGGAAATGGGAAATTCATGTTTCATGGGTACAGAGTTCAGTTTTGCACCACGAAAAAGGTTCTGTGGATGGAATGGGCAATGGTAGCTTAACAATGTGAATGTACTTAACGCCACTGAAATGTACACTTGAAAACGGTTAAAATGATAAATTTTATCTTTTTTACCCAAACTGAAACAAAAATGCTTAGTATAACACCCAGCAACATCCTTACTCAACAAATGATAACTATTGTTACTATTATAATTTTTTTAAAGCTCAACAAGGCAAATATTAACAAACATTCTCCAACGCAAAAATGGCCAGCATCCAGAGAAAGCTCTGATGAAAGACACACTTGCTAAGTAAGATTTAATTCCATTTAAACATCTCCTTACCCACTCCCCACTGCCTCTCTAACCCCCACTGGTAGGCACTCCTTGACCTTCATGGGGATGTTTAAATGTTAACCAATGAGCTTTCTAAATCTCCTCAGCTGCATATCAGCACCTAAGCTTTGAGGTGGGGGAAATTCCGCATACAAGGAGAATGAGATTGGTACCAAGGGGCAGACTCACAGCCATCCTCTGGCTTGCTTAATGGAGTTCCGTGCTTCTAAGCAGACCTAGACAAAGCAGACAAAGAGCAGGACAGAGTGCAAAGAAGATGTGAGGTTTTTATCCTGGGAGGACTGAGCCCATGGTAACCAATTTTATGGCTCTTTTGATTTGGGTCCATGGATATCTCTGTGTGTGCGTGTGTGTGAGTGTGTGTTGAGAAGGAATTAATCCAAAAATATAGATGAAGAAAGCTGCGACTCTGATGTGAAGCCGAGTTGCATAATCAGTTCTGAAGGCAGAGAAAAGGTAATAGATGTTTACATTACAATCTGGCTCCTACTGGAAGAGCTGCCAAATGATTTAAATAGTAACAAAGATTACTATTCCAGTGATTTGTTGCCCCCAACGATACATACAGAGAAGAATTCACCCCAGTAATTTTTTCTTTGGATGGCCTTAATTAAACATCACACTGTACAAAATATTTATGGCTTTCAGACTACTTAAAATCTTAAACTAGACACCACTTTAAAAGGTAGAATTGAAGGACTTACTCCATTACTGACATATGAAACTTGATGTCTGGTAAACAGGATGCATTACAAAGAAACTCAAAATCCCTTTTAACTTTTGGATGTTTTATGACTAATATTAAGATAAATTTTTAGGTAGAATAACATATAGCCATGAAAAAGAATGACATATAGCTCTCTTCACTGATTTGTCATCTTTCCTGGAATCACTCCAGAGCACATCTGGGTCTCATGTAAAATGATCACCACAACGTAGGAGGTCTCTACAGGCAAGGAATGTCGGCCTCCTTCCCTAGCCACAGGTTCATCAAAAGCCCTCTAATGGGCCTTTGCTGAGTAAACAAAGCAGGACACAGATCATATGATGTATGAACCCCGTTATTCAAAATTGTCAGGTCTAAGCCGGGCACAGTGGCTCATGCCTGTAATCCCAGTACTTCGGGAGGCGGAGGCAGCCAGATTACTTGAGGTCAGGAGTTCCAGACCAGCCTGGTCAACATGGTGAAACCCCGTCTCTACTAAAAATACAAAAATTAGCCAGGCATGGTGGCGCACGCCTGTACTCCCAGCTACTCAGGAGGCTGAGGCAGAATTGCTTGAACCCAAGAGGGGGTGGTTGCAGTGAGCTGAGATCATGCCACTGCACTCCAGCCTGGGCAACAGAGACTCTGTCTCCAAAAAAAAAAAAAAAATCAGGTCTAAATATATGTGAATAAAAGCAGCAGGAGGGAATTGGAAATAGGTTTACCAAAGTTTAAAAAGGAATTGTCTCTGGGTGGCAAAATTGGGTGGGTTTCTTTTTTTTAACTTTCCTTTTATATTTTTCTGCAATGTTTGAATTTTTCTACCCCAGGTATGTACTATTTTTATAAATTAAGAAAAGAAATTTTCAAAACAGAAGCCTAGGGTGATGAAAAGAACTGTGGCCTATGCATCAAGATACTTGGGTTCCCCGACAGAAATAAAGAGCTGCGGACATTGGATAAGACACTTTTCACTACTCTGGACCTTAAAAGTTGCCATTAGAGCAGAGTTTCTCAACTGCAGCATTCCTGACATTTTGAATCAAATAATTCTTTGCGGCCAGGCGTGGTGGCTCAGGCCTGTAATCCCAGCACTTTGGGAGGCTGAAGCGGGCAGATCACCTGAGGTCAGAAGTTTGAAACTAGCCTGGCCAACGTGGTGAAACCCGTCTCTATAAAAATACAAAGATTAGCCAGGCATGGTGACAGGTGCCTGTAATCCCAGCTACTAAGGAGTCTGAGGTGAGAGAATCGCTTGAACCTGGAAGGTGGAGGTTGCAGTGAGCCAAGATTCCGCCATTGCACTCCAGCCTGGGTGACAGAGCAAGAATCCGTCTCAAAAAAATAAATAAATAAAAAATAATAATTCTTTGCTGTGGGAGCTGCCCTGTGCACAACAGGATGTTTATTTAGCCAGTATTCCTGCCCTCTACCCACGAGAGACTGCTCTCCCATACCATCCTGCCCCAAATTGTAACAATCAAAAAAATGTCTCCAGACATTGCCAAAACTCCTCTGGGGAGCAAAATTGCCCCCCATTGGAGCAATTTTAAGTTTCCCCTCCACTTCGTGGTCTGTAAGTTTCTTCCTTGCTGAAAACCTTTGTTAATTTTTAGAAGCTGTATTTAAAGTCTGTGGTTTTAGGCCCAATGATTCCCAGGTTAGTAACTACAGTGTACTGCAGACTTATCAATATTTTCATCACACTAGAGAAAAAGATGAAATAGAAATGAAGAAAATCAAGAAATAAAACTACTAATTTTCAGAGAAAACTTTAGAACACATGGCACAGATGTGAAACTAAAAGAATCCAAACAGACACAGTGGTCATTAAAAAAAATGAATAAATAATAACTCTAGCTTTTGACAGCTCCGCCTTTTGTTAACGTAACTGAAATACTGTAGAATGTTCTATTGCTTTCTAGTTTAAAATGAACTTATAGCACTAGCAAAGCCAACAGAGTAGTTTGTGTGTACTGCCATATTTTTATCTTTTTAAAAAAAGCTTAGTGTTTTCTCTTTGCTTCATAAGAAATACAAGTATAGCCAGGCACAGTAGCTCATGCCTGTAGTGTCAACACTTTGAGAGGCCGAGACAGGAGGGTTGCTTTAGCCCAGGAGTTCGACACCAGCCTGGGGAACATGCTGAGACTCTGTCTCTAGAAAAAATAACAAATTAGCTGGGCGTGATGGTGCACACCTGTAGTTCTAGCTACTCAGGAGGGTGAAGCAGAAGGATTGCTTTAGCCCAGGAGGTCAAGTTTGCAGAGAGCTGTGATCATACCACTGCACTCCAGCCTGGGTAACAGAGACACCATCTCAAAAAAAAAAAAGAAAAAAGAAATACAATGATATCTTCCTATTTTTCCAAAAAGGATATTTTACTCTTCTGGACTAACAATACCACAATCTCATAAAAGGAAACAAATTACCCATGTCTTTATTATCTTTCTAAATGGTGTCTTGTCATTTTATTAACAAGAACTCCCTAATATTTGATGCTACCATACTTCTGAATTAAAATTATTTATGCTTGTGTTAATGATTTGCTACTCTAAGATCCTGACAGCTTTTGAATTAAAAAGAATGACTAAAAAAGATTCAATGTTGCCTTAGATTCATAACTCTGAAAATCAGTAGTTCATCCATATAAAGAAAGCCATCTAGTAACCAGAATGTTTCCATAACATCAACACGCTACAGCTGGCACATACTGAGTGTTCAACAAATGTGGGGTACCATTATCGTTATTCACAATCATGCCAGAAAATAATGTTGTACCAAATTATTGGCTAGTACTGGCTTTTATAGCAACTAAAAGGCACTAAGTATGAAAGGGCAGCCTATCACTTAATAGATTGATATTCTGAGTTCTTTCACAAATAAACCATAAATCATTATCTTAAACTGCCTGACCATCATTCTAACATCCATGTCTTTCCATGTGTTCAGTTAGGTTCAAATTGCGTCACCCTGCCCAATACTCTTCCATCGCCAGCTCCCCTTTAAACCTTTCGTTTATAACTGTGGATACTGTCGCAGCTACTAGGAAGTAACCCAAGCTAGCTGGTGTATACAGCTGTCCAATCCTTGAGGTGGGCTCAACTAGCATGGTAGTCCAGCAAACTGATGGTGCAAGAAGCCAATGTGGCCCTCCTCCGCAGAGACAGCCAAGGGAAGGGGTCCCACCACATCACAGGAGTCATTCTCTCCCAGTCTTCATTGGAAAGTGCACTGGGCTAGGAATTAGGACTCCGGGATTCTAATCCCAGGTTTTTTAAATAACATAATAGATCCAAGGTAGGACAACACCTCCTACCCCTGATCTTCTAGAAAGGTGAAATCTGAGGTACTTTCTAGATTTAAAATTCTTTGAGCGTTTCCTTAAACCAGATTTTACAATTAAGTTTATTTAAAAAAAAAAAAAGAGCCCTTTTGACTGACTGAAGGGAAATGAATTGAATAGCAACTGTACAACAGGAAGAATTTCTCTTATTTTTCAGCAGATACCAAATAGATGGGAAGTCAAGGTCAATTTTATCTTTTGAGAGGTGGGTTACAGGAGATCACAAATTGAGTGAGGCATTACAAAGTGCAGTGCCATACTACAGCTTAAGTCTCTAAGTCAGGGCTGCCATACCATACTTAAGTCTCGAAGTCAGGGCTGTCTAGGTTCTGACATGGCTTTCAGAAATAACATTTTCAAAACAAATAATTATGAAGTGATTAATGTGGCCAAGATCGCTTCACCAATACCTTTGTGGATATCTTTGTTTCCTATTGCCTGAATCGTGAATCTTGTTTCCTATGGCCTCAATCCCCCACCCTCAATCCTGAATCTTGACAAATTAGGATAAATATACTGTATGGCCTCCCAATCATTTATGATTGATTGGCTTCAGGACTTTAAGTCATCTTGCTAATCCTGAGTGATTTAATAGCCAACACCTGAAGAAATGAACTCATGTACTCAAATTAGCCCATCACCTACGTGGCTATCTCTAGGACAAAAAATAAAAGCAAAAGATTAGTCCATTTACTGTGATGTCTTTACATATTTGTAAAGAAACAGAGCCAGAACACAGGGTGAAAAACTCGCAAAGAGGAAGAAAGCACAAGGGGGAAAATCTACTTATGCAAATTCTAAAGAGATCTATAAAATTGCAATCTGAGAATGTTATTATTAAGCTAAGCCTCTTAGTATAGAAATACCCAAAACTCTCAAACTGGGCAGCTAACGGAGAGTTAGTAAGTGCCAAAAAGACTTCCTTCTTTCCCTTATTCATCACAGGCAATATAGAATCACTTGCTCAATATGATAATATGACTTTTGTCAATGCATGTTCAAATCAGATCAAGGATTGGCTGCTGATGATGTCATATCCAATGGTTAATCCCCAGTGAATGCAGTTTTAATATCACATGCATCAACATGCCATTTACATAGCAAAGTATTATATTAAGTGTAACAATAAATGAGTGGTGCAGAAAAAAAGCAGCTATTAGGAAAAGGCTAGGTACCACTGAAAAGGAGGTGGTAGCGGGGAGCAAAGGAGTTTCTTCTTTTTCTTTTTTAATTACTAAATGGAACTAGGTCATCAAACAATACACATGTCTAAAAAGATCAGAAAATGAATATTGAAATTCAAGTGACCTAGGATATTCTAGTACTAGAAATATAAAAATGGTTGCCTTCAATGAAAAATATCCAATAATCAAGCAGAGATATTTGTAGGGGTTTTTGTATGTGCTAAGGGAACAAGTAATACAATTAAAGTCATTCAAAGATAGAGAAATTGGCAGCCACTGCTTTTCTGGACAGGACAACTTACTTATCTTTAGCAGGGAAAAGTGGCCAAGTCAAATTGTGACTTGAAGCCTTATAATAAATTTTAAAGTGTCAAAGGGCAGTTAAGATGGTACTGAGGGATGAAAGCAAAGTCACGCAAAGCAGAACAATGAGACAGAAGAACTTAGGAAGGGAACCTTGAAATACGGCTTTCTGCTATGAGAATATTGATTAAGAAATGTCCGTGCATATGAAGAAAGCTTCTTCCACAAATGAGCCATGCCAACTCACTCGGTCATTTTGGGAGGACACAAGTCATCATTCGTCATAATGATTCTGAAAACTGCTCTCACACTACCTTATTAAGGCCTGTATTTCCCATCTAGAGGAAGTGTTGGGCTTTCACACTGATATGACTATAAACTTAGCAGAAATTCTTCTCACTATAAAACCCACGCGAGCTATTGAAGAATTCTTCAAGTCATACATTTGTTCTCAGTGACTGAGTGGTAACACTAATTATATTGCAAAATGGCTGTTCCTAAATTATTTTAGCCTTTAAAAAAATCCAAGGCCTTCCTGAACTGGGCTCTGACACAAACTGCCCCCACCTCTTCCCTCCTCAGCGAGTGTTCTAGAGGGGGCCAAACGAAGATGCGTGTGATTAGGAAGCTAGGCCATCAGTGTGCACAAGTTTGGGTGACCGAGTCTGCAGGTGGCAGCTACGAGTTATGGTGGACAAGCTTTATGCCAAGGATATTAGAGACAGAAACAGACCAAAGCTTCGAAGGCGCCCATCCCCACACACGGGGATCGCCTGTCACATCACATCAACCTTGCTTGTCTCAGAGGGAAGACCATTGAAAAGTTAAAAGGGAAAAGAGTTCAGGGATAAAGACGTTAAACCAAAGGGGGGTCCCTGAATCTCGGTGACGGGGGATGGGCACCAGGCTAGGTCTCGGCGAGTCCGTGAACCCGTGCATGTACATACTGCTTAGGAGCTGATTCACAGCTTTACTAAGGCTCCGTGGAGCCCCTAAACGTTAAATGATGCTGATTCGAGAAGAAAACGCACCAGCGGCACTGTGTCTGGCTTGGGCAGCCTCACCAGGTGCAGGAGATCAAGCTTTCCAGTTCCAATCCTCTCCCGAGCTCCTTGCGTAGGGTCAAGGATGCCCTCTCTTCTAGGAGCGGATTAACAGGGCAAAGTGGGAAAAAGAGCGAAAGAAATGTAGAGATGCCACCTTGGTGGGCAAATCTGAGATGCCTCCCGCGGAAAGAGACGCAACTTCCAGACCCGCTCCAGTTCTCCACTTGGGCGGGAAGCTTTGCGCTCCCAGCTGGAAGACGCCTCCCGAGCGCTCGCTGCGCCCTTCAAGCAAGATCCTAGCAACCAGAGCTTCAGGGTGGGGGTGGGGGCGGGGGGACGCTGACCGGCTCCCACCTGCTTGCTCCTAGAAAGATCCTAGCTCAGATTAAAGGGATGAAGCGCTAAGGTCGACTTGTCCAGAAAAGAGCTCACGGTGAGTTCACCACCCCCTATACCAATTCATCGAGTGGCCTCCTCCGCATCAGCAGAGCACCCCCGGGGATTCTGTCAGACATGAACCCCGAAACTGGAAGCGGCCGCTGCCTCTCTCCAGCCACACATCCTTACTTCGGAGTGCCCCTTCCAACTTCGGGTTGCACGCCGACCTCAGCACAGGCACTCTCCCCGGCGCCCCAGAGAGCCGGGATGAGGGGAGCTGCACCGAGCTGAGTTAACTCGGTACCAGCCGAGAGGCAGCGGCTGCCCACGAGACAGCACCTAAATACAGGGTCCAAATCCACCCCCACCCCATCCTCTCGCCCCTCCTTATCCCTTCCAACCCTTCTTACTCGACTAGAGCCGGCATCCAAGTCGGACCGGCGCGTCCGGAACTAGGTACTGATCGCCGCACCGGAGCCCGAGGACGCTCACCGTGCCGCCTCCCCGCGGGAGCCCCGGGAGCGGCCCATCACCTCTGCAGCCTCGCCAGGAGAAGAAAAGTTCCCACGTCTCTACCAGGAGAAGCCCGAAGCTCCTGCGGGAGAAGCCTGAAGCTGCTGCTGGAGAAGCGGCAGCTGAGGCAGGACTCCCGATGTTTGCCCGCAGCCGCGCGCGCAGTCGGTGCGCCCCGTCCAGGGCGGCGCGCAGCTAGCAGTGCGGAGCCGAGCCCAGCTAGCGCGCTGACCAGGAGGGGCCGGGCCCGCCGCGGAACGCGCTGATTGGCCGGGCCGCCCGGCTGCTCCTGTCCCTGCCTGGCCCCGCGGTCCACGTGGGCCGGCCTTCTCCCCGCCCCGCACCCCTGCTCAGGCGGCGCGCCCCCACTGCCGGCCTCCAGGCGCCTCTCCCGAGCGCCTCGCTGTGGCCACCACTCCGCAGGTGCTGAGCAAAAGGTATTCTTCCTGAATACCTGAGAGTCGCGTTGAGCTCCACATAAGGAAGACGGATTTAGGGTTCGGCTCTCACTCGAAACCATTCTCCACGCAGGACCCAAAGCGGTTTGCAAGCAGGATTTCTTAGCCACCCCGTGCAGTAGCACATTCATGAACTAATCTGGCTTCGCGTGTAATGTGCTTGTATGAGAGAGGAGAAAACTCGGCCCACGTATGAATACCTAAATACTTTTCTTTTTTAATGTATAAAATACAGCTGGGGCCGGGCTCGGTTGCTCACGCCTGTAATCCCAGCACTTTGGGAGGCTGAGGCGGGTGGATCATGAGGTCGGGAGATCGAGACCATCCTGACTAACACGGTGAAACCCCGTCTCTACTAAAAATACAAAAATTAGCCAGGCGTGGTGGCGGGTGCTTGTAGTCCCAGCTACTCGGGAGGCTGAGGCAGGAGAATGGCGTGAACCGGGGAGGCGGAGCTTGCAGTGAGCCGAGATCGCACCACTGCACTCCAGCCTGGTCGACAGAGCGAGACTTCGTCTCAAAAAAAAAAAAAAAAAAAAAAAAAATTCAGCTAAGACTTCTTTGACTCCCTCCTCCCACCCCATTCCTAGTCATGCCCTCCACTCTTCCGCAAGTGAAGTAACTGATAATCAGTGTCACTTAATGGTATTCATTTTACTGGGATTAGTTCATCTGATCTCTATTTTATAGATGAGATAACTGAAGCACAGAGAAGTTAAATCGTTTACTGAAGATTACACAGGTAACTAGTAAATCCATGCTCTTTAGTATGCAAAGCATGGCGTCGTAGAGCGGTCCCTTGAGAACACTTTAGAACTGCAGACTTTCAGGCCCCACCCCAGAAGTAGAATCTTCATTTTAACAAGATGCCCAAGTGGCTGGTGCATGCATAAAGTTAGAAAACGTTGCTCTGTACCACTATGCTGCTCACTGTCATTGGCTTGGCTTATCATCTTCTGGTCCTTTTACTCTGCATTGACATACAATTATGTGCCATCCTGCCCCTGCTGCACTCCAAAGTATGTTCACCCTTCTCTGACTCTACCCCTTGAACTAACGTATGGCAGGCCTTCTGCTTCTGTTCCCCGTACCACACATACCATAGCACATTTTACTTGTTAAACAGTTTCAATCTCTTACTCTCTTATTATTAAAATGGGGGTTCTACATTCAAAGGCAATTTGTTATCAAGATGTCACCAGTTTAAGAGAGAATTCAAGCTTTGGAGATAGGCGCTTGATCTTTGAGATTTCCTTTAAAGACTAGCATTGAAGTTCTGTGACGGCCAAAGGGGAGATCCAAGCAAAACCTGAAATAGCATGCCAGGAGATTCCAGAGCTCTTTCTCAACAGCATTCATTCATTCATTCACTCACTCAGCAAAACTGAGGGCCTACTCTGTGTCAGGCGCTGTAACAAGTGCTGGTACATAGAGAAGGAAACACAACAGTGAAAAGTTCCTGAGTTCATGGAACTTATCTTCTAGTAGGGAGAGATGGGCAATTAACATGACAAATAAGTGAATTACAGAGTTTGATAGAAAGTGGTCAGTGTTATAGAGAGAAAGAAAGTAACAGAAAAGAAGGTGAGTACTGGGGAGATGGTGGTTTTAAGAACAGTAGTTAGGCTAGTTCCCACTGAGAAGGTAATATCTGAACCAAGACTTGGAAGAAGTGAGGGAGCAAGTCATTTAGAAGAACAAGTCCACATTCATTTGTTCACCAGATATTCGTTGCTTCCACACTGTGTGACAAACATGGTTCTGGCAAAGATCTGCGTGTTTACTTAAGCCCTGTTTTCCATGTCTCCAATTTTCCTGCACTGGGGGTTTCTTGTCCTGGTGAGGAAAACCAAAACGTAAGCAACTGTGTTTGGCTCAACCTAATACCATGTTCTTCCATCCTGGATGTTCAGTACTGTTAGAGGTTCAAATTTGTCTCCCTAAAATTTATATGTTTAAGTCATAACCCCCAGTACCACAGAATGTGACATTATTTGGAGATAGGGTCTTTATGGAATTAAATTAAATGAGGTCTTTAGAATGAGCCCGAATCCAGTATGACTGTGTCCTTATAAAATGGGGAAATTTGGAGACAGACATGCACACAGGAAGAACACCATGTAGAAATCAGGACAGAGATGGAGTGATACTTCCACAAGCTAAGGAATGCCAAAGATTGCCAGCAAACCACCTAGGGAGAAGAGAGGCGTGTAACAAATTCTTTGCAGCCCTCAGAAGGAACCAACCCTGCTAACACCTTAACCTTGGACTTCTAGCCTCCAGAACTGTAAGACAAGAAATTTCTGTTGTTTAAGCCACCTAGTTTGTGGTATTTGTATGGCAGCCCTAGCAAATTCATACAAGCATAAAAGTGTGTTTGTTTCTAAAGTAAGATAGTACAGTTAAGGGACTCATCTGTAAGTTTCCAATGACCTGATGTCTCTTGTGCAGTAGCAAGAAGCCAGAATGATCTGATAAATTGAGATTTACTAACCAAATCACCACAAAAAAGGCAAGCTATATTAAAAAAAAAAAAAAGAAATAGCCACTAAGCCCCAATTATCCAATTGTTTCCTCATTCAGCTATTTATCAAGCGCCTGCTGTGAGCCAGGCTCTAGGATATGGTGACAAACAAGGCACATGTGAGTTGCGTGTATTCTTGTGGGGAAGGTTGGACAGTAAATAATTCAACAAATATATGAATAAGGTCATTTCAGAGCACAATAAGTGCTAAAAGAAAATAAAAGAAGGCTAGAGCATTAGAAGGATATGAGGATGGGTTTAATTTAGATTGGCTGCCTAGAGAAGGTCCCTATGAGGTAGTGACGTTTGAGTCAAGACCTAACTGACAAAAAGCCATCCAAGCGAATATCTGGGCAAAAATTGTTCCAGGCAGAGACAGTAGTTCCTCTTACAAGAAAACATTCCTGTCATTCATTCGGTAACATTCTTTCTCTCTCTCTTTGCGACCCATTTTGCATCCTTTGAGGTTGTGTAAAATCAATCAACATCTGTTTCCTAAAAATGGGGTCAAATGATTTATTTTCTTATGTAAGAACCTGTGAAGGTCACGCCAACGGTATTTTGCACACACCACACATTCACAAAACACCCCTGGATGTGCCTCTGTATTTGTAGGTAGTGACACCACGTGACTTGGACATTGTGTTTACTTTCCTCATTTGTATAACATCCAGAACACTACTGGCATGTCCTGGTGCTTAATCAATACGTGCTGATGACTGACTATGCCTGAAAGGAACGTTCTGACTCTCCTGGGCCTGTTTAAAAAATCCTCTTGTTTCTAGCGAAGCTTCAGTTTTAAAAATTTGCAACACAATTTTGCACTTAGTAATTTTTCTGAGGAGACTAATAAGAATGATAGCTGACTTAATTGGAGGCTTGTGTGTGGCTCACTATACTATGTACTTCACACGGATTATCATCTTTATAATCCATGTAAATATAAGTAAAGGTAAATACAAGGTAAATTCTCTTATTATAATCTCCATGTTACAGATGAGAAAACTGACACTCCAAAAAGGCTAATATGCCCGTGGTTGAAACCACCTTTAAATGGCCGACTTATGCCTTGAAACAGTCTCGCTTACTGTCAGCTCTGTGTTCGAGTGGTTGAACAGTGAAACAAGTGAAGAAAGAACAGAGAAAAAGCAAAAAGCCTCTGTCTGGGTACACATGGACATACTATGTAGAATAATAGGCATTGAAGACTACAAAATGTGGGAGGGTGGGAGCGGGGTGAGGGCTAAAAAATTCCCCGTTGGGTACAGTGTTCACTATTCAAGTGATGGGTACACGATAAGCCCAGACTTCACCACCATGCAACATGTCCACGTAAGAAACCTGCCCTTGTGCCTCCTAAATATATAAAAATAAATTTAAATGTTTTTAAAGCATCTGTCTATTCCTTTACATTTGTCTTTGAAATTTTCAAAGCACTGTTTTCTAACTTTTTTTTATTTACCCCAGCTTTCTAGCTTTCTAGTACACTTTTCTAGCAGGATATTTGCTTTGTTTTCCCTTGCTTCAAACTAGGAACTGCAGGGACTTTATAAATGAAATAACTGATACATATAATTTTTGTTTGTTTGTTTTCAGCCTGTCTGTTGTTCAACACCCTCTAAGGAAATGTAAGTCCAGCTTCTTAGCGCTCAGCCTACTTTGCCAGACATCCTATCTCATACATTGACAGTGTCCCAACACTAAGGGGTCCCTCCCCTTATTCCAATAGTAAAGAACATCACGTCCCTTGCCAGACCAAATGCTATAAACAATTTTGCAATACCAGCTCCGGCCCGCTTTACACAGATACTAATAGATCCTCCTGCCTGAGAGTGAACATCTAAAAATGGCTTCGGCCAGTCTTTGTGAATAACTTTCTATTCTCGTGGCTTCCCCACAGTCCTGATCAGGGAAAAAGCCCAGAGAACTTGCAACAGTGAAATGATGTGAGGCTTCTCTTGTTGCATCCTGGATTCCCTCACCTTGCCCAGGAAGTGGGTAGCCGTTTTAGCCGTAAAATGACTTCCTGCCTTGGATGGCTTGGTCAGACTTGTTTTAGACTTCTGGAACTCAGACAAGGTGTCTGGATATTTGCTTTGGAAGGCTCGGGTGGGTTTCACTATCATTCCCTTTGCTGACCACAACTGCTTCAATAATTTACACCCTGGAAAAGATCAGCACTTCAGGGCAAATTAGCATAAGAAGGATTTATGAAACCACAGTGGGAGGTCACTTTTAGAAATCATACAAGAGCTGTTGCACAGAGCAATACAAGCTAGGTTCCAAGCAGGGACAACCACAGATAGAATCATCAAAGAAATAATGCTCCTTTTGGTACCCTCTCTTCTGTCCATCCCTTCCACTCCAGCATCTCCCAATATGGTCGTATAGCACTCAGCTACACAGAAGGCTGGTGATGTCATTCATTACTTTATTTTCATTGATTCTTTTGCTAATTTGTTTAAACATTATGTTTGTTAAAGAGATATTTGTACACCCACATTATAGCAACATTACTTTTTGGAAAGAAGCAACCCAAGTGTCCATCAATAGATGAACAAATAAAATGTGATATATACATGAATGCAATGGAATGTAATTCAACCTTTAAAAGGAGGGCTATTCTGACACATGATGCAAAAATGGATGAACCTTGGAGACATCATGCTAAGTGAGATATGCCATTCACAAAAAGACAAATACTGTATGATTTCATTTATGTGAGGTACTGAGACTAGTCAAATGTATAAAGACAGAAAGTGGAATCATGTGACTCATGCCTATAATCCCAGCACTTCAGGAAGCCAATGCAGGAGGATCGCTTGAGCCCTGGAGTTCTAAACTAGCCTGGGTAACATAGTGGGACCCCATCTCTACAGAAAACAATTTAAAAACTTAGCCAGGCATGGCGGTGCTCATCTATAGTTCCAGCTACTTGGGAGGCTGAGGTGGGAGTATTGTTTGAGCCCAGGAGGTCGAGGCTGCAGTGAGCCATGATCATGCTACTGTACTACAGCCTGGGTGACAGTGAGACCTTGTCTCAAAAAAGAAAAAAGAAAGTATAATGGTGGTTGCCAGGGGCTAGAGCAGGGGTGTCCAATCTTGGCTTCCCTGGGCCACATTGGAAAAAGAAGAATTGTCTTGGGCCACCCATAAAATACACTAACACTAATGATAGCTGATGGACTTTTTTAAAAAATCACAGAAACATCTCATAATGTTTTAAGAAAGTTAACAAATTTGTGTTGGGCCACATTCAAAGCCATCCTGCGGCCCACAGGCCATGGGTTGGATGAGTTTGGATTAGAGGAAGGGAAGAATGGAAAGTTAGTGTTTAATGGGTATAGTTTCCATTTTGCAAGATGAAGAGTTCAGGGATGGATGAAGTGACGGTAACCCAATAGTTTGAATGTACTTAATGGCACTGAACTGTACACTTAAAAATCATTAAGCTGGTACATTTTATTACAAAGTGCATTTCACCACAATTTAAAATAACTTTTAAAAACTAATGGAAGTTCTTGTAAATGTCTAAAATATCAAATTTTTAAAGCTGAAAATGGAGATGTGATTCCATTTGTATCATAAATTACCAAACTTAGACTAAACATATTTTGGTCAAAAAAATTTTTTAATTTTATTTGCATGTGCTAGATATTGTATGAGGTACTTGAGATGCAGTTGTAAAAGAAAAATCCATAATCCTAGACCTCAAAGAACTTACAAATATATACCACAATGACCTGGATGAGACTCTTTATTCAGCTCATACCTTCCTCCTCCAACAAATATTTAATGAGTGCCAACTATGTGCCAGTCTCTCTGCTACCTACGAGCCCACATTAGTGAACAAAGTAGATACAGATTGCACTCTCACAGGACTGCCAGTCTAGCAAGGAAAAAAGATAATAAACAAAAAATTATTGTTTCCCTAAGCCAGGGTGTGGTGGCCTACGCCTGTAATCCCAGCAATATGGGAGGCCGAGGCGGGCAGATCACTTGAGGTCAGGAGTTTGAGACTAGCCTGGCCAACATGATGAAACCCCATCTCTATTTTAAAAATACAAAAATTAGCCAGGCATGGTGGTGCGTGCCTGTAGTCCCAGTTACTCAGCAGGCTGAGGCAGGAGAATCCCTTGAACCCAGGAAGCAGAGGTTGCAGTGAGTCAAGATTGAGCCACTGCATTCCAGCCTGGGCAACAGAGTGAGACTCCATCTCAAGAAAAAAAAAAAAAAAGAAAGAAAGAAATTATTTTTTCTCTAACCCCTATCTGCTCCATCAAAATTTACTGGTTCTCTGTACCTTCACCTTATAGACTGTAACAGGTGACCGTATCAAATCTGCTAATCATTTCCAGATATAAATAAAGTTTCTAACTGTTATCCCTCCCACATTTGTAGCATGTCTGTGTGGTAACACAAGAAACAATATATTAACCCATTATTCTCCAAAATATGGTTTTTATTCCACAGATGGGTTGCAAAATGACTTTACCTGAAATGCAAAAGAATTTTTTAATAGTTTTCATTGTTTTAATGTACATCAGGAAAAAGTTAAGTGAGAATATCAAACCTGTGGTTTCATGGATATTGCTATTTGGAATGAGGCTAAATTCAAAGGTGATTCCAATTAAAGAAAAATATATGGATAATAATTTAAGTAAATGGCAAAATTGGAAAGGTGGGGCATAACACAATCAGAAGGGGGCTGAGATTTATGAAAATAGGAGTGACTCCATTGGCAGAAATGGCCAATGAGAATGCTATTCTAAAGAAACACAGGATTTGCAGTGCCTTCATATTCCACCATGGGCCTAGCCTGATTCCATCCTTAATGTTCTCTTCTCTCTCTAGCTCTGCAACCCTAAGGGGCAGCCACTCTGCCTCACACTGAATGATGATGTATACTGAGAATTTCTTCCTTCCCCGTTCACCAACTCAGCTTCCCCTGAAACGACTCAATCTAGTGAGGATGGTGGCAAAGATGGGCTGACAGTTAAATATCTTTGGAACTTGGGTTCTGAGCGTGCTGAGTTTGTGTCTTGCAAGTTGATATTGTGACAAAATAAAGGTGGAAAGAGAAACCATGCTGGTGGTCATTACCTGTCCTGTCTAATCTCCTAGAATTCTAGTGCAAAGTTTTGGAGAAAACCGAAAAATAAGAGTTGGGTTTTATTCCAGTTTTTTTTTTCTATCTATCATATTCTAACACATGCAACAAAAACCACATGCCATTTGACTTTTATTTTTGGACTTGAGTTTTTTGCCTCTACCTTGGAACATTATTTTGTAAAAGGTCATGAATGTTAAAGTAGGACTTAAGAGGCTTCACTTGGACAACTGACATTTGAAATACTCTCAATCAGGGACTTTCTCATCAGGGAAGCTAAATCTATCCATAGACCTCAAATCCCATGGATTTCAAGCTGGATGCAGTACTAGACATTTGCCTGCCTGCCAAGCATCTCCCGAGAAAGCGTCCTAGCCAAAACCCTTGATTGCAGGTGACAGAAACCCAACACAACTGGCATAGGCAAAAAGGGACAGCTATCTGCTCACATAACTGAGAAGTTCCAGAAGTGTGGTTGGATATTAGTACTCAGGGAAGGAATGTATGTGTATGTATAATTTCCCCATCTCTTGGCTTTTTTTTTTCTTTTTTTATTGTTGGCCTCATTCTCTTATCAAGAAGAGGCTACATCCAAAAAGCAGAGGAAATGTTATTCAATAATCCCAAGCTATTCCCTTCCAGCCACGTGACCCTAAAGGCAACAAGAATTCTCCTCTGACTTCAGTTTTTTAAAAATCTAGCCCAGCTTGTTTCACAAGTCTATGTCCATGCCCAGGTTGGGCAAGGGGGGGCGGTGGTGAATGGCAGCCCCACTATCATTACATGGTTATAAATTCCTAGAAAAGAAGGAACGTTGGACAATGCTCACTAGTGTCCATTGCGGAAAACTGCCCTACCCACTGCCCTGACTGAACAACTAACCATGTTCCGTATTACCCAACCCACGTGGCAACAGCTAAATAAATTATGTTTGAGGTCCTAAGCCAGGTACAATTCATCTATCCAGTTCCTCTGATTTGTGTGACCTGGCTGGAAAAGTGGCATGAGCCAAACAGACTTTTCTTCCTGGAATTTGAAAATGGGGGCCCTAGAGACTGAGTCATTTGGTTGGGGCAGTTGAACTAAATGTCATAATAAAGTAGAAGACATGACAGACAATTATGGACGATGTGCAATTGAAGCTATGAAGAAGCCAGTCTACAGAGTTGGAGATCTGAGACCACAGCAACTCTAAAAGAGATATTCAGGAAGTAGCTGACTCGGTTTACTGGGAGCTTCAGTGCTTGAAAATTTTGTGTTTGAGTAGAATATCTAGGTAAGAAAAGGCTAACATATTTAGTGATTTTACCCACATTGTCTTATTTTCTCTTTGTAGTAACTCCATTAGAAGTTATTTATTTTCTCCATTTTTACCAATGAATAAACTGAGGCTCAGAGAACATATGTGATGTTTCTTAGTGTGACTTGTTTCAAGCTAGAAAGTCTCTAAGTCAAGAATGCTTTTCCCCTACTCCAAGTTGCCTCAGAATCTTGAGTGGTAGAGATCTGGGCTGGAGACGTGGATTTGGAAATCATCTGCTTAGATGCTTAGAGGTACTCATTGCAGCCACAGAGGGGAATGAGGCTGTCAAGTGAAAGTACACAGTTAGGGAATTACTGTGATAGCCTCATCTATTGGGCACTCACTCTGTGCAAGGCTCTACACATTATATACTAGTAATGACTAATTGTATGTGTTGAATTAACTGGGCCACAGCATGCCCAGATATCTGGTTAAACATAATGTCTGGGTATGTCTGTGAAGGTATTTCTGAAAGAGATTGATATCTGAATAGGTAAACTAAGTAAAAAACAGACGGCCCTCCCCAACGAGAGAGGGCATTACCCAATTCATTGAGTCCCTGAATAGAACAAAAAGGCAGAAAAAGTTTGAATTCACTCTCTGGCTGACTGTTTGAGCTGGGACATCGATATTCTCCTGCCTTCAGCACTCCTGGTTCTCAGGTTTTTAGATTTGGATTGGAATCTACACCATCAGCTATAGAGCTCTCAGTGTTTTGAGCTACACCCCTGGCTTTCCTGAGTCTCCAGCTTGCAGATGGCAGATCATGGAGTCTCAGCTTCTGTAATTGCATGAGCCAATTACCTTAAAAAAATCTCAGGTTTGTTATATATATAAATAATGTATATTTATATATAATATATATTTATAATGTATATATAATATATATTTATAATGTATATTTATATAATATATATTTATAAATAATGTATATTTATATATAATGTATATTTATATTTACTTTTATATAATTTGTATTTAAATTTATTTTTGTATAATTTATATTTATTTATACAAGCTATACTTATAATTTATATATATAATTTATATTCATATTTATTTCTATATATATCCTATTGGTTCTGTTTCTCTGAAGAACGCTGACTACTATAGTATTCTATCAACAGAAGCAAGATTGAGGTAGAGTTTACAGAGGTTCACAGTGACCATGCTTCTAGGTGTCATGAGATGGAAGGAACCTCAAGCAGTTTCTGTTCTAGGATTTGGTCATTTTCCTGCCATGCTCATGTTCCATTACCCTCGTAGTATGCCTGGTCTGAAAAATTCAATCTGCCTTAACCATTTGAATCTCTAAACAAACCTTGCAAATTAATACAAGTCTCAAGGACCAGGCTGAAGAGAACGAGACGGGACCTGGAGAATATAAAAAAGCGGGTATCAGCTGGGCGCCATAGCTCATGCCTGTATTCTCAACATTTTGGGAGGCCAAGGCAAGAGGATCGCTTGAGGCCAGTAATTGGGAAGACCAGCCTGGGAAAAATAATGAGACCCTGTCTTAACAAGAAATTTAAAAATTAGCCGGGCGTCATGGCAGGCACCTGTAGTTCCAGCTACTCAGGAGGCTAAAGCAGGAGGGTAAGTTTAGCCCAGGAGTTTGAGGCTGCCGTGAGCTATGATTGGGCAACTGTAGTCTAGCCTGGATGACAGAGTGAGACCTTATCTCTTTAAAAAAAAAAAAAAAGTGGGTATCAGGTTGAATATGGCGACACCCCAAAGTGACACTCCCACCCAGTCTTGATAAACAAGGTTCCAAATTGAGTTAATTTTGCCCCTAGCAAATTCAAAACATTCTAACATTTTCATAAGATTCTTAACAAAAACAAAAAAGTAATGTGTGATTCATTATGTCAGCATTTTATTTTTTAAGGTTATTAGAACACACTGACATACATTTTAAATAATAAATAAATGCACTGAGATGATTTTTTAAATACTCCCTTGTACTTCCTTTTACTCCATGCCCCTTCTTTCCTTCTTGCACTCAACAAATTGCAGCAGCTAAACAGTATGCTTACAGCCCTAGGGAAAAAAATACCAAAGCAAAACTCTGAGAACAAAGAGACAAAGCCATGGCTTATGAGTTTCAAAATAGGCTGCTGAAACCCACACCAGAGATAATAGTTTTGAAAGGGTTTCTGAGCCCCAGAAGCCAGGCTTTTGAATATCAAAAAGCCACAGCCTACCCTGAACAATAGATTGGGGAAAATAGCCTCCCCTCTAGCTTTAGACTGGGTACAGACTCCATGGGCTGAGTGCAAGAGAAGACAGTTTGAAGAGAAGAAAGTCAGGTAGGGGTGAGCGTTACCTGGGAGACCACTGTGGACAAATCTCCCTTAGCCTTCAGCCCTTGTTCATGAGACCAGCAACAGAGGTCTGACCTAGGAAGAAATGCTCAGGGTTCTCAACCTCAGCATTATTGACATTTTGGCCAGATAATTCTTTACTGTGGGAGGCTTCCCTGTGCACTGTAGGGTGTTTAGCAGTATCCCTGGTCTCTTCCCACTAGACACCAATAGCATTTCACAGTTGGGACAAGCAAAAATAGCTCCAAACATTGCCAAACATTCACTGGGGGTGGGGATGGGGCTCAAAACTAGCCCCAGTTGGGAATCAATGAGACATAGATACATATTACACACATACATGTATATCTTTCTAATAAAAAAGTTATGTGCTTTATACAGAAAACTTCAAAAATACAGAAAATTCCCCTCAAAATAAAAAGTCAACCATGCTTCATCCACTCAGAGCTAATCATTAATGTTTTATCTATTTCCGTTTTTTCCTATATATTGTATTTCAACAAACTAAAAGTTGGGGTTATATAATAAAATACTGTTTCATATTCTGCAATTTTTTGCAGATTACATGTCGTGAAACTTCATAGAGGTATAGTTTTCCTTACTATAGCCATAACATAATCTATTTTGCCAATCTGTTATTGTTGGATATTTAGATTACTCCCAACATTGCACCATCATTGGTAATGTTTTGATGAATATCTTCATATATTTCTTTGATTGTTTTATTACAAAAAATTTCTAATGTTGGGGTTTGGATCTGTAATATTTACTATCTCAGTGGTGTAAGTCATAGTTTTCTGACTTAACACACACATTTTATTTCTCCAGTGCTTTTAACTTTCCACAGTACTTTCCACCTTACCAAACATGCAGGGCAGCTACCAATTGTTCCCATTTTACTGATGAGAAAACTGATGTCATAGAAGTTAGACGACTTGCCTATGGCAACATAATTATTTTACAAGAATGCTAAAACCCATCTTGCTTGAGTCCTGGGCTTTTTGCTATTAGTGCTTACTTTGGCAGCATGTATACCACCAAAATTGACATAATCCAGAGAAAGAAGATTAGTATAGTATGCCCCCTACTCACAAATGACATGCAAATTTGTGAGCACTGTGGTGTTAAGAAAATTTTAAATTATGAGTCCTATTTCTAAGTACAATTTTCTATAAATTTCAGAGGTCCCAAAATGTAATCAAAGCTATGGACCTCAGATGGGTGAATCTACCAGTTCCCAGGAAAAATTCCACAACCAATCTTGTCTCCAAATGCTGATTTGGAGGGTTACTATCTAAAGTGCTAATTCCAACATCTGCTTCTTTCTTATCCCTAAAGCCAAATTAAGTTGGCACAGTCTGTTTTTACTTCCAGCTTCCCTCTAATACAGATTTATTACCAATTAATTTCTTATCGAGGAAAAACAATCCCATCATAAGTACTTTAGATAATGACACCTAAGTATTTTATATTGCTTTAAGTCTGAACAGTTAGAATAGAGTGCATCCAATGTTCATTACCTCTTAATGCTTGCATTCTTTTTTCATGTTTTGATTCACCAAAAAAAAAAAAAGAAAGAAAGAAAATGCTACCCACTGCTTCGACTATTTTTTAAGTTTAATGAGATTAAATAAATTCTGCGGAGCGGGGAGAAGAGTACAGCTTACTAATGTTTTAAGTGGTTTATGGAAATATTCCTACCATGGGCACAATTTTAAACCAAAGCCAGCTTCTGCAGTGCTATTGAAGGCTAATGAATGCCTTAATAACACACAGAGGAAAATGTGATGAGTTGATTAGATACAGACATATTCTAGACCTCTGAAATATAGTTAGAAAAACAACTCAATTGTACTCAGAGACAGAACTCATGACAAAGAATTATCTTAACTTCCTAGTGATCCATTTCACCACCCATTAATAATAAGTGATCTTCTTGGCAGTGTATGCTGAGGTAATTGACACTGATTTGAGGTTTAGACTTTAAAGCTCCAGATAAACCTTGAACCAATTCCTCTCAGTTATAATAAAACTTGGAAAATTTAGAACATCATATAACTTTTCTATTTCCTAGAACCTAGTTGTTGCCAATCCTTCTTTCAGTTAATTAAAATTCTTTTGCAGGGATATACTTTTTAAAAATGAATTGTTCGACATACTCTTCTGGAAATTTTATTTTTCTTTTCCCAGTTGCCTATGTAGTCTTTGGAATGGTTCTGTATGTCTGTGTGTGTCTGTGTGTGTGTGTGTGTGTGTTTGTGTGTGTGTGTAAGATTGTTACTTTCAAATAGACTTGCTTTCTAGTCATTAGACATCCAATTATAGAAGTGTATATTACATAAAGCTGAAATAAACAGTGTTTTTTAGAGTCTGGCAAATTCCAATAGGGTTGTTATTTGATCTTTGGAGTCTTGAGCAATGGGATACAGGAGATGTCACACTGCTTGGACAAAGAAGGCAAATATCAGATAACAGAGGCCATCTGAACACATAGGCAGTTAGGGAGCTCTCAAAGAATGTGAAGGACAAGTAGACAGAAAAAAACATGCAGAGCAACAGTAAAAAGTTGTTTTAAAAAAACTCATAGATGGAACAGGCATGGCAGCTCATGCCTATAATCCCAGCACTTTGGGAGGCTGAGGTGGGCAGATCACTTGAGGTCAGGAGTTCTAGACTACGCTGGCCAACAGGAAGAAACCTCAGCTCTACTGAAAAAAAGAAAAACTACAAAAAATTAGCTGGGCTTGGGGGTGGGCACCTGTGGTTCCAGCTACTCAGGAGGCTGAGGCAGGAGAATCGCTTGAACCTGGGAGACAGAGGCTGCAGTGAGCCAAGACCACACCACTGCACTCCAGCCTGGGCGAAAGAGTGAGACTCCGTCTCAAAAAAAAAGATACATTCTCCAACATAGATGAGTCTTGAAAACGTTTTGCTCAATGAAATAAGCCAATCACAAAGGACTACATATTGTGTGATTTCATTTCTATGAAATATCCAGAATAAGCAAATCTACAGACAGAGGAAAGACACTAGCAGCCAGCAGATGGGGAAAGGAGACTGAAGAGTGACTGCTTATTACAGTTTCTTAATATACATAGGGTTTCTTTTTGGGGTGAAGACAATTTTCTAAAATTAAGTAGAGATGATGGCTGCACAACTCTGTCAATATATTGAAGCCAATGTACTGTACACTTTAAAGGGGGTGAATTTTATGGTATGTGAATTATATCTCAGTAAAGTTGTTTTTTAAAAAAAGGCAGAGACAGAATTAAAAAGTTAGAATAAAAGAACCAAGAGCCTGAGACAGACATAGGATTCCAACATTAGAAGAAGCTTTTTTCTCACTGGTTTAAGTTGGCTAAAGAGGTTTCCAGACAACTTTGATGTGACTAATTGGAAATTTTTTAAAAAGCAAGTTAAAATCAACATTTGGCTTGTGCCAGCCAGATTCAGCGAATATTGTCCAGGCACCTACTATGCACTAGCCACCTAAAATATGAGGAGATCATGGCCCTTTTGGAGTGATAAGCTTTTAACTAAAAAGTAAAATATTTTCGGCTGGGCACAGTGGCTCATGCCTGTAATCCCAGCACTTCGGGAGGCCAACGTGGGAGGATCAGTCGAACCCAGGAGTTTGAGACCAGCCTGGGCAACATAATGAGATCCTGCCTCTAGAAAAAATTTTAAAATTATGCATAGAGGGAGAATCACTCGAGTCCAGGAGGTCTAGGCTACAGTGAGCTGTGATCATGCCAGTGAGCTCCAGCCTGTGCAACAGAGTGAGATTCTGTCTCAGAAAAAAAAAAAAAAACCTAGAATATTTTTTGAAAGAAAGGAAGTACACATACTAAGAATGAGTTTTTTAAGTGATGAAATTATGAGTATTTTTTCCAGTAGTCTAGAATATAATGACTTTTGTATTATAAAGAAGAGGAAATACATTTTTAAAGGAAAAAGTATTACAGTGTGATATAATAAATGCTCTATGAAAGCACACAGGAAGGAGAAAGAAGTTGGGCCTGAGGAAGGAAGGTCAGAGAAAGCCTGACAGGCAATTATTTGATATTAACCCCAAGAGATGGGAATCATAGGCTTGAAAAGGACTGAGGATGTTCCTCTATCCTTCAAGCCCCAACCCTGACCCCAGCCCCTCTCCAGGGAACTGAGAGGCTGCAGCTGCATGCTCAGGTCCAGGGAAATGTCTTCCCTTCTCTGTGGCCTCCACCCATGATCAGGGCCTCCCTTTTGCTTCAGTAAGGGCAGGAAGACTGGTAACAAATAAAAAGTCATTAGGAAGGAGTTCACTTCTGGGTTTGGGCCAGTGGGTACCACTTCAGACTCTTATTGTTGCCAAAGCACATAATATGGCAAGACAATTGCTCTATCGCTGCAGAAGTTAGTGTCAGGGGCTTTACTATTAATGCCCACACAGCATGTGACCAACAGGTAGAGAAAAGCCTCTGTCAGTTCAATTACTCTGAAGGAGAGAGGGTCACCTTTCCAAAGCTGATGCAGAGTTCATTTTTCACGGTGAGCCGTGTTCATCACGGCAGCTCTGATCCCATCCTCCTTTGCAGTTCTTGTGGTTATCCCAGCCTTCTCTGATGGAACAAAAGAAGATGGCAAAAACTACACTGGCTCAAACCCATGGGCCATCCCCTCATACATTCTGAGTATGTCACAGGGAGGAAGTCTACTATGATAACATAGCACAGGTTTTGGAGTTAGGCATCAGGATTTGAATCCTGGCTCAATTGACTCAGCAGCTAACTGGCTTTGGGAAAGTTATTCCAGCTCTCTGGTGCTTCCTGTCTTCCTCTATAAGGTGGGAATAGTATTAAAACTTCCCTCATAGGGTGGATGAAAAATATACATACAATCACCTGGCACCAAAGGTACTGAACAAATTTAAAGTCACTTTTATCAGTTTTTGGGGGTTTTTTTGTGTGTGTATGTGTGAGATGGAGTCTCAGTCTGTCATCAGGCTGAAGTGTAGTGGCACGATCTTGGCTCACCACAACCTCCACCTCCCGGGCTCAAGCAATTCTCCTGCCTCAGCCTCCTGAGTAGTTGGGACTGCAGGTGTGTGCCACCACGCCCAGCTAATTTTTGTATTTTTAGTAGAGACAGGGTTTCACCATGTTGGCCAGGATGGTCTCAATCTCTTGAGCTCATGATCCACCCACCTCAGCCTCCCAAAGTGCTGGGATTACAGACGTGAGCCATCGCGCCCGGCCTTATTAGTTTTTCTAATGAGAGACTTCCTATAGCAATGTCTATACAAGTTTAACAACATTACCAATGAATTCTATCACTTTTCTTCCTTATTTAGCTAATGAGTATATATTTGTGTACATATATACAATATACATAAATATATACATATATATGTGTGTGTATATATATATTAGTCCATTCTCACACTGCTGTAAAGAACTACCTGAGACTGGGTAATTCATAAAGAAAAAGGGTTTAATTAACTCACAGTCCTGCAAGCTGTACAGGAAGCATGGCTGGAAGGCCTCAGGAAACTTAAAATCATGGTGGAAGATGAAGGTGAAGCAATTACCTCTTACCATGGCAGAGGAGGAAAGGGAGAGTGTGTGAAGGGGGAGGTGTTATACACTTTTAAACCAGATCTAGTGAGAACTCACTCACTATCATGAGAACAGCAAGGGGTAAATCTGCCCTCATGATTTAGACACCTCCCATCAGATCCCTCCCCCAACACTGAGAAGTACAACAGGACATGAGATTTGGGTGAGGACATAGAGCCAAGCCATATCAACATACATAACTATATATATATATGTTATCTCTTTTGTTAGAATTATCTTGGTTGCAAATAACAGAAATTCAATGTTACCGGCTTAGAGACTCTCCCAAAAATAAGAGAATATTTATTGATTCACATATATGAAAACCCAGGGCAGTTTAGTTTCAAGCACAGCCATATCCTGTTACCCAAATAATACCATCACAAACTGGTCTCTCTTCAGGTTTTAATCTTTGTTTTTCTGTGTGGTTAAAATGAGTTAACATACATAACATGCTTAGAATACTGCTTAGCTCATAATAAGCACTCTATAAATATTTGCTACTATTATTTCATTTAATCCTCCCCACCATCCTATGAAGCATGTACTGTTATTATTCTATTTTTACAGATACAGAAACTGAGGTGATACAGCTATTCAATAATGGAGCTCGGTCAGGCAGTCTGATTCAGAAGGCTTTTCTTGACCAATTCTCCAACCATCTCCTCACTGGGCTAGAAAGGAAGGTTGAGCCTTGACTGGAAAGGGCTAGGAAACACAACCCCTAAAGGACAGATTCTTTAAAAAGAAAGCATTCAAGCAAGAAAGCCTGGGCCCTTTGCACCCTGAAGGGTAGGTACCATCCTCTCAAATCCATTTTTTTTTTCTTTTTGAAAGTGAAAATAAGTTTCTACTTTTACAATTCATGCATGAATCCTATTAATCCTTCACAAAGGCAGCTTTACCCCCTCAAAAATTCCAGAGACAGGGCCCGGCATGGTGGCTCACACCTGTAATCCTTCGGGAGGCCGATGCGGGTGGATCACTTGAGGTCAAGAGTTCCAGACCAGCCTGGCCAACATGGTGAAACCTCATCTCTACTAAAAATACAAAAATTAGCTGGGTGTGGTGGCAGGCACCTGTAATCCCAGCTACTCAGGAGGCTGAGGCAGGAGAATCACTTGAATCCAGGAGGCGGAGGTTGTAGTGAGCTGAGATCGTGCCATTACACTCCAGCCTGGGTGACAGAGCAAAAACTCCGTCTCAAGGAAAAAACAAAAGAAAAAAATATCCAGAGACAGGAAGTAATTGGAATATGGGTCCTTGAATTGGTTATTCTTTGCTGACAACTCCATCTCCCAACTCTAATCTATTTTCTGCTCTTGCCTGTGCTTCTGCTTGGCTCTCTGTCCTCTGGAGCTGATGGACTGAACCTCTAGATTCCCTCACCCCTGGTTTCTAATTGGGTTTGGCCAATGAAGTGTCTTCTTTTGTGGCTTCAGGCCCACAGGTGGTGATAGCTTCCCATGATTTCTAACCCCTAAGGGCTTCACCGCCCCTTCCTGGTTTTCTTCACTCAAGCCATGCCTTTGCAAAGAGCCCCTTTGCATCATTCTCTTCCACTAAAATCTTAGAGTTTGCCATCAGTTTCCAGGCCTACATCATGGCTGTTGTGGGCCCTTGGCACTCCTGCTTACATGACTTCCTTCCTCTATAAAAAAGCTATTGAAAATAAAAAATAAAAAAAGAACATTTTAAAGCTATTGAAAATTATATTTTATGATTCTGTTGATATAAAGACATGTCATCCAGACTGGATTATAATCTTTTTTTTCCAATTTCAAAAGAAATTAAAATATTCCATGGGCCCTAGGCACTGCGCCTACTGTGCCTAATGGAGAGGTTGGCTCCAGTTATTTTCTACAGGAGGCCATTCTAATGGATGCATCCTCTTCAACCCACAGGCCTAACTGACAGAAAATGAACAGGAGCTCCCTGGAAGGTGGGCTACTATCAAGTTAAAATCATGATCCTTGGATCAAATTTCCCAAACAGCCTGTTTCCATTACAGTGAGCTCAGCATCCTTGTCCCTAAGTAGATCCTATTTCCAAGTCACAGCTATGATGACAAGATAATAGAAAAAAATGGTGTATCTACTGTTGAATTAATGCCTAATTCATTTACTACTCACCACATTCCAGTGATGGGAGGCACAACGATCACATAGTTCATTAATAATTCTCCATTTCCTCTATGTAAATATATCACTCTATACCTGGGAAGGAGAGGACATTTTCCATATGTTCTCTGCTCAGAAAGATCCTTTTTTTTTTTTTTTAAGAAAGATCACATTTTTGCTCCCAGTTGAAATTTGTTTTGTTTTTAAAGGAGATCTGAGAAGTTTTTGAATGACGAATACTGCCTTTAATTGGCAATTTGTTAAGTATCGATAATACTGAAGGTTATATTTAAGATTCTATTTGTTCACCCGGCCCTCAGTCTGTGGCCGTCTCATAGACCAGGCAGAAAGTAATAGAAAATGTGAAATTACACCGGGAAGAAGACAATGCTAGACAGCAGAAGTACTTTTAAATCTAAAATCAGCAGTTATTGATTTTCTGTTGGAGGTAAACATCTCATACTCTACCCAAATGTGGGACTGATGCTACTTCAGATTGTTTCTTTGCCTTTTTAGAAACTTCATTTCTAATTGCAAGTTAATGCCGAATTTAAATCTCTAAGCCCCTGAATTTTTCTGCACTTCTTCCCAGTTGGTTCTCTGATTGACTGGAGGAATGAGGAGGTTCTGCAAAGGACAAGGGAAGCTGAGAGTTTGCCCCTCAGTACCCTAAATATCAACCATAAAACTAATGAACTGTGGCAACTGAATTGTCTAAGTTCATTCCAAATTATGTCTTGGTAAAGTTCATCTTTGTTTTCAATTATCATCCTGGAATCATAAATGTCGAATCCAGGGTGCAGCTTCTCAGCTCTTTGAGTCTTGTTTGCATTCTTCTTACCGTTAAGCCTATGTAGTGGGTATGTTGTGGCCCACTGCACTGGATACCCAAGGCAATGGGTACAAGTCCTCTTCTTAAAAATATCAACTTCGTTTTAAAGGAACAAATCTGAAACAGTCTCTGAAAAAAATTGCCGTGATTCAATGAATCTGCATTTTTGACATGTTGCTAAGGATCGTGTTTTTAAGTATATCCTCTTTAACTCTTCATAACCCAGTTATAAATCTTTTTTTCTTCATTCTCTTATGACTACATAACATTTACCCTGACAAGTTTATAAAGAATATTGAGGTTGATACTTGCTGGTCTTAGTAGAAATTAATCAAAATCCATCTGTTCCCTTCTCAGCCTGGACATTTTCATTACAACTAAACCAGGGATTATAGGATTCTTACATCTTCTTTTTTTCCCTACACAGTTCAGTTGATTTAGAAACAATGATTAAAGCTGCTTACTTTAAGGAAGATTGTTTCCAATCTTCCCTTCTTGCAAGGCAGAGAAAGATGAAAGCGTCTCGATCCTGAAATATTTATATCTAAGACTGGAAATCTGTATCAGAGGCATGACGAATGATTACAACCAAAGACTTTTTTATTTTAAAGTCATATTTCTTATCTTTACACTTTCACTTTCCTTACAAGTTTAAGGAAATAAATGCCAAATTCATTCACTGCCCCCCACCTCAAGTAGATAGATTTTCTATCTTCATTTAATTCTAAGTCCAGTGTGACATAATAAAGAGACATGCAGAGAAAGATTACCTTTCTGACACTAACTATTTATAGGGATAAATATCAGTTATCCTTATGTGGCCTTAGAATGACTGCTTTCAAAGGAATGGAGAACACAACTAGGGGGAATGAATGTAAGCCTCCCACAAGGGGATACCTTGATCTGGGATTGAAGAAATCTTAAGAATTAGAAGTGATTACTAGAGAGTAATTCTAGGTTTACCCAGCCTCAGACAGGTGCTCTAATTAACTATTCTCATTCTTCTTCTTTTTTTCTATCTAGTTTTCATGCTTTTTCCTCCTCTCATGCCCTTATAATTGAGGTAAAATGCTCAGATGAGCATTGACAAATGTATACACCCATGCAACCACACCCCAGTCAGGATCTAGAACATTCCGTACTCAATTTTGGGGGAGCTGTTTTTAAAAATGAGTATTATTACAGTCCTCTGCTAGTAGGAATGAACTCCTCTCTAAATACCAGGAAAAAAATAAAATAAAACTGAAGGACTGTGAGTTGGTCCCCTACGGAGCCAAATGCTGTTTGAAACCAATCTGTGTCATGGGCCTTTTAACAACATAACAAAAAGAGGAACTGATCTTGACCAGCAGGCAAAGGGTTGGCGTCATGGCCCAAACATCAGATTAGAAACACAATGATTCCCTGGGACTGGACACTAAATCCTGGCAGACAACGCAGCCTTTCATCTTCTAAAATGGATAAATTGAATGAAGCAAGGCCAATTCTGGGCCAAGCTGTTGGATGAGATTTTTTTTTTAAGTTCCTAACTGTTCTACATAGACATTAAAACATCCATTACAGCAGACCTAGAAACCGTCCTTCTGTCCTTGACATTTCCTCCTTCCTCACTTGTTCCTTTGCAACAGGAAGCCAGCTATTTGCCTTAGTTCCTAGCTCTCTGTTCACTGCACCTCAGGGGTGCTTCCTTTTACGGCAGGATCCCCCTAGATAAAAGGAAAATTATAAACACTCATCCTTAGAAATTTGGAAGGGAATATATATACAGCCTAAGGAGTGCAAAAGGCTCTGCACTTCATTCAGCTATCGCTGCTCAGGGACTCTAAGTACAAAAATAAAGATGAACTGGCTGGAAAGTATAATAAAGGGAGCTGAATTACAGGGAGTTGTTTTTGTTTTTTAGCAAGAGTTCTGTACTGGCAAGTTTTATCGTCACTGTATTGTGATACCACAGTGGACTGAAGGATCTCTGAAGCCAGGCTATTTGGGTTCAAGTCCTGACCCTGCCACACCTCTGATACATGACTTGGAACAAACTATTTATTTTTCTGTGATTTTCTTTTCACTTCTGTAATGTGGACAGTAATAATACCTAGCTCAAGGGTCAATGAACTTATTCTGTAAAACGCCAGATACGAAATACCTTAGGCTTTGCAGGCCATGGGCTCAGCAGCAACTGCTCAGCTCCATCTTGTAGCATGAAGCAGCCACAGGCAATATGTAAGCCAATGGGTGTGGACATGTCCCAATCAAACTTGCTGAATAGACTCTGACATTTGAATCTCATATCATATTCACTTGTCAAGAAATATCCTTGTTTTGACCTTTTTTTCAACCACTTAAAAATGTAAACAATATTCTTAGCTCACAGGCTGTACAAAAACAAGTAGTAGCCACATTTGGCCATTGGGCCATATCAAGCTGGTCAACTCCTGACGTAGTCCGCAAGGTTGAGTATAACACATGTAAGGCTCTTAGATAAGTGCCTGACGCAACATAAGGACTACTTCCATGTTGTTATTTATTATTATTATCTAGCGGACCATGATGAATGCTATACTCTCCAGAGATCTGGTATCAGTATTATTTCCCAGAAAGTCAACCTTATGGGCTTCTAGTTTTGAGAAAAAGAGATGGAGGTCCTAAGAGAGAAAATGATCTTAGTGTCTTCCTCCAATATCTAAGAAAGATATAGTGAACACTCTCCCCAGATATGGATCCAACATACAGAGTGTGCCATTGTATAGATCTTATCATTTGGGGAATGATTTTTTAAAGCCATTGCTGTCCATTTTTGCACATTAAATCCCACAAAGAGATTTATTTACAACATTAAATCATTTCTTTGTGCTGCCTGGCTACATTTTTAACTATTGAAATATTCATCACACACTCTAAGAACCTAATGCCAAGTGTTTTATGACCTTTTAAAGGATGGCTTCTTTAAAAAATCACCTTCAAATGTGGATGTCAGTTTCCAAGTGGGGCTAAGGAAGAGCAGCCTATTGTCAAATATCAAGGAGATAAACAAGAGATCATTGCCCACAAAAATACCACCAGAGATGGGCTGATCAAACAGAAATGTACGTAATGTGTAAAGCTGTGGATTAGGGAGGTAGGGATGGGAAGTGAGCAGGAGTTTGGGGCAAAATTTGTTTGCTCTTTAGAATGAGAAACACACTCAACTGTCCACAGCAATGGTTCTCAATAGAGGGCAATTTGGGGCCCTAGGAGACATTTGGCAATGTCTGTACATTTTTGATTGTCAGGGGTTACTGCTGGCATCTAGTGGTTAGAGGTCAGAGATGCTGCTAAACAACTTGCAAAGCACAGCACAGCCTCCACAAGAGGGAATTATCTGGCCCAAAATGGTCAATAGTGCCAAAGTAGAAAAATCTTATAGACTCAGGAACTACCACGGCTGACCCCCACCTCACGCCTGACTTTATTTTGCTGTTACTTCGAATTTGCTATTACAGGCATGTGTCAAACAACTAAAGATAAACACTAGAAAGCATCCCTCACTATGTTCCTCTGAAGGATCACAATTCAATTTGAACTCTCCATCCACCCACTTTTTCAAAGGCATCATGATGGAAAAATTGCAAGATTGGTGTTCATTTAAACTACACAAATTAATTCAATTACTCTGAAGAAAACTGGTACCAGATCACCAGATTGCTGAGCAACTGATGCTAATTTTATAATTCAATTTACTAATGAGGTAATGTGACAAATGTTTAAAAGCTAGTCATCTGTAGCTAGAACCAAGTCATCCAAGGAAGTTCGTACCTGCTGTGTATTTGGATACAAATCTCTTTGTTCTTGACCAAAATGAATCTGTTCAATTTCCTTAAGTAAATAAAGCTCTTTAGACCAACACAAGGTGAAAGAAGAGGTGAAAATGAACTTCCATTCTTTTGCAAAGAATCAAAATACTAAATAAGCAGAAAAAACTAATGAAAAGCTTCTGAATCAACTTATGGAGAGTTAAAATAATTCTGATTAATCTTAACTTAAAATTATAAGTACGCTAATTAATTTTGTATATTTAACACTGTTTTAAAACTTTGTCAGTTTAAAACTTTCGTTTTATAATGAAATTCTATTTATTCTATTTAAATTAAACTTAAATATTTAAACTTAAAATGTAGAGTGCTTTACAATTCTATTTAAATTCATCTATATTTGTAGAGTGCTTTATAATTTATGAAGTGCATTCACATATATTATCTCACTTGAGCTCTAAAATAATTCTGAGAAGCAGGGATGACACGTATTATTATCCTTGATTTACAGATGGAAACACGGGTTTGAATACATCATATAGGTCTTTCTGGCTTAACAGAGGACTCTACTGATGCTATAATGTTTTACAAAATTGGATTACGAGGGAATATGGTACAAACAACTGTTTCTCTTCTCTATTGCTGAGTAAACAACCCGACACTCAGTGATTTAAAACAACAAACATTTTGTTGTGTTTCACAACTTAGTGGGGCATGAATTCAGGCAGAGCTCCGATAAGCAATTCTTGTGCTCCATATGGCGACTGTTGACTGGGACCACAGGAATTGCTCTGTGGTGTTCAGCTGGTAGCTGGTTTGGAGGGTCAAGACAGCTTTACTCACACATCTGGTGCCCTGGTGAGACAGCTGGAAGGCTAGGCTCAGTTGGGTCTCTCTCTCTCTCTCTACATGGGTCCAAGGGCCACATAGTCTCTCCAGCAGGGTAGTCAGATTTCTCAATGGTGGCTCGGGCACCAACAGCAAATACTCCAAACAACAGGAAAGGGAAGCTGCCAGTCTTTTGATGCCTGAGCCTGGGTACTGGCCCAGGGTCACTTCTGCCATATTGAATTGGTGAAAGCATCCATGGAGCCCTCCAAGAATTAAGAGGTGGGAGGGCAAGAAATACACTCCACCTGTACATGGAAAGAATGTCAAGAAATTTATGGCTATCTTTAATCTGCCACTTGACCTTAAGAATCTCTTCCAACTCAAATATCGAATGATAGCCCAATGACACTGATTTCTTCCCTGACCTTGGGCATGATTCTTCTCGAAAAAAAAAAAAGCAAAAAAAAAAAAAAAGCTTATACCAGGGGAAAGTCCAAACCAGAGAGGGCTGATGTAAGCAGTGCTCAGCACCTGTGTGTTCACCTGTATTCTTCGTTGATTTACTGCTGTCTTTGATCGTGTCCATTCCTGTGGCTTCAGCTACCATTTCCATGCCCATGACATCCATTCTCCTGAGCTCCAAGACTGAGTTCACCACAAATATTCATTTGGATACCTCACAGGCACCTCAAATTCAGCACATCCCAAATGGAACTTGCCATCTTTCCTTCCAAACCTGCCTGTCTTTTGCCTTTGCTATCTCAGCAAGCTATGCAACCATCCACCATGTTTCCGAAATCTGTACCCTGAGTAGCATCCTTATCTCCTACTTCTCCCTCACCCTCTGCAGCCAACTGATAACAAAGGCCTGTCAATTCTAACTGCTATTATCTACCACGTTATTCTGTCCTCGCTGTCACTCTTCTGCTTCATGGACTTCTACACTCTTCTCCTTACTATTTCCCCTACAGTCCAGAGTGACCTTTCTCAAATCTAAATATGATTATGTTGCTTCCCATTTTAGTTGGAAGGCATACTGTTGAGGATAAAATCTAAACTCCTTAATGTGATTTATAAGTGTTGTTCTTGTGTGATTTGATTTAAAGACATCAAATGCCCTCCTGCCCCACACATTTCTCTCCCTAGCATTGCCAATAAAATGTCCATATTATCCATTCCTTCTAGTTAAGGCACCTGAAGTCCTTGTTAGTTGCAAATGGTATCTGAGAGGCATGGCCCCAGTTAAGCCGTTAGCAGCCATTAACTCCTTTATGCCATTCATGAAAGTATCCTCTGTGGCTATTCAGTCCTTTTGAAACTGGTCATAGGATAGATAAGTTTTCAAAAAAGGCAAGGGTTGTCTAAGTTAGTGTCTGGAGCCATTTCTGATACATTCAAATAAAAGTAATTTGCTGGTGAACATAAAACATACAAGCATCTGGAAAGATTCTGTATTGTGAAATTATTCTGCATGTCATTTTTTTGATGAAGAATTAAAAAGTTATTGATATCAGTAAAAAAAGAAAAAAGAAGAAGAAGGAGGTGGCCAGTGGCCAGTGTAAATAGCCATTTAGGATCCAAAATTTCAAAATAATTTAGCCAGTTTCATTTGATAAGATTAGCATAATAGAGCACCAATTAAATCCCCCCAAAACTAAATTCCAAGAGATGACTTAAATATATCGGTCACATATAAATTTGTGATATCAATCATTTCTGGAAATAAGGGATCCATCAGGCAAGACTTAAAAATTGTTTCCATATACAGCTCAACTTCTCCATTATAGTAGTATTTGTTACTATGATAGAATTTGACCTTTAATAGAATTTAACATTTGTGAAACTCAAGTTCTGTCTCTTCCTCGTCAATCTTCTACTGATGTTTCACTTCCCCAAGTTCTTATCCTATTGCCTAGAAGCAGAACACTGACAAGTGACCACCACCATCAGACACTCACGTCCTTACTCTCCCCCATGCCTGAACGTTGGCTGTCTGTGCTGATGCTCCTTCATCATGTATATCTTACTTCACCCATCTTTTTCAAATACATCTGCCACATTTTCCATCTTCATCTCTCCCAGCAGCTTCTTAAGCCCCCACATCTTTTTTTTTTCAGGCTTGAAATTTTTGATATTTTGTTTTTTTTTTTTTAATTTCAATAGTTCTTGAAGAACAAGTGATGTTTGGTTGCATGGAAAAGTTCTTTAGTGGTGATTTCTGCGATGTTGGTGCATCTGTCACCCAAGCAGTGTACACTGTACCTAAAGTGTAGTCTTTTATCCCTCACCCCCCTCCTGCCCTTCCCCCTGAGTCCCCAAAGTCCACTGTATCATCCTTATGCCTTTGCATCCTCATAGCTTAGCTCCTACTTATAAGCAAGAACATACGATGTTTGGTTTTCCATTTCTGAGTTACTTCACTTAGAATAATGGTCTCCAACTCCAACCAGGTTTCTGTGAATGCCATTATATTGTTCATTTTTATGGTTAAGTCCCTACATCTTATTACTCCACTTTTCAATGCTCCTGTGTCATTTACCTATAAAATCTGAATTCCAATGATGATAATGGCAATGATGATTATTTAGATTATTTAAATTTTTTCATCACTTTGATGTTATGTTATCTTGAACTATCTCCTATAATCCTTGTATCACCACTATGATGTCTAAGTATCTCATTTACAGAAGAGGAAACTGAGACTTAGAGAAGTCAAATGATTTTTCTGAGGTTCTATAATTAATCATGTTTTCCAAAGATATTCTGATAAGGCTGGATCAAAAAACTAAACTGGGATCAATCTGTCAAAATCACCTTTCCGTACACTAAAATATTTATGAATAAAATGATATGTCATTGAGAATTTCCTTCAGAATAATCCAGTGCAGGAGGGAGTGGAGTATAGATAAAATAAGAGTGACCATATATTGATGACTTGTGAGTGAGTGATGGGTATGTGGGCGCCCATTGTACTATTCACTCTACTTTTGCGTATCTTGGAAGCTAACCATATAAAAAGGTTTTGGGATTTTTTTGTTTTGTTTTGTTTTGAGACAGAATCTCATTCTATCACCCAGGCTGGAGTGCAGTGGTGCAATCATGGCTCAGTGCAGCCTTGACTTCTCGGGCCCGTGGATCCTCTCTGCTCAGCCTCCTGAGTAGCTGGGACTGTAGTCATGCCAACATGCCCGGCTAATTTTTTCATATTTTTTGTAGAGATGGGGTTTTGCCACGTTTCCCAGGCTGGTCTCGAACTCCCAGGCTCAAGCAATCTGCTCACTTTGGCCTCCCAAAGTGTTGGGATTACAAGAGCAATCCACTGTGCCTGGCCCCTAAAAAGGTTTTTTAATGTCATCTTTTTTATGCAATTACAAACAATCCAAGTCCACTGATCAGTATTGCTATTCAATGTTTGTAGATAATTTTGAAAATGTTTCATTATGTGTCTAGGTTATAAATATCTAACATAAGAAGAGCACTTCAGCTTTAAATACAAAGGTCCCATTTTTGTCACACAAGTTTTTTTTTTTTGTTCTAAACCTCTATGATATGCATTGCATACTTACCTTAGTGGAAGAAACAATTACCCAAGCACTGTGTCCAACTGCATGGTGTTATCTTTTAATTAACCTGTGTAGCCCTTTTTACTTAACCTAGTTTGAGAAGTGACAGCCACTGAGCTGTCTAAATAATGTACGCCACTGCTCTTTTATTTGATCTATTCAATCAAAAACAATAGTTCCTGGTGTGTGGTCCAGCCCTGTAGAGCTAGATATACTTTCTATTCAGTCATGATCCTTGTCTTGTACATCAGCGTTGAAACTTGCCTTGCTAACCAGAGTATTTAGAATTGTTTCAATATAGGAAACCAGATTGATCCCATATGTGAAATCTTTTCCATATTTCACACAATATTTTGTGTAAAAGCTATTCTGCTACTCTGCGTCCATCAACTTAGAATATCCAGTGAATAAGGGGGGGGTAATTGGATGCTCACATTTCTGCTGAGGGGTTAGATTAAAAGTGCCACATTGGCTGGGTGTAGTGGCTCACGCCTGTAATCCCAACACTTTGGGAGGCCAAGGCGGGAGGAACACCTGACATCAGAAGGTCGAGAGCAGTCTGACCGACATGGTGAAACCCCATCTCTACTAAAAATATAAAAATTAGCCAGGCATGGTGGTGCATGCCTGTAGTCTCAGCTACTCAGGAGGCTGAGGCAGGAGAATTACTTGGACCCAGGAAGTAGAGGTTGCAGTAAGCTGAGATCACACCACTGCACTCCAACCTAAGTGACAGAGTGAGACTCTATCTCTCAAAAAAAAAAAAAAAAAAAAAAGTGCCACATTTCTGGATGGAAATTTAAATTTATCAATATGTGATCAAATCCCTAAGAGTGTGCATGCCCTGGAACCCAGTAGTGCCATATCTAGGAATTTATCCTAAGGAAGTAACTGGACAGATGCACAAAGATTTTTATGCAAGGATATTGAGGGCAGTTGTTTTTTTAATAGTAAATACAAAGAGTCTAACTGTCCAACAATATGGGATTGGCTTAATGAAATTATCCACAGAAATTTAAAATGTTGATGCAAATAATTGTATGGTAGTGGAGAGGTATTCATTAAATCCTGTTAGTAAACAGGTTATCCACAATATGCATTTAATGAATATATTATTATACATATACACAAACACACACCCACATATATATAGCCTCACATGAAAGAAGTTACCTCTACATACATATATGTGTGTAAAATTTGTGTAAATGTATGTGTTTAAGGGAGTGTTGTGGAGGGGTGTGTGTGCACAGCTTAAGTCAGGATGGAGAAATATGGTATCCTTTAGGTGATTTTTTTTCTAGCAGTATTTTTATATATTTCTATAATGGAATACTACTACAAGTAGTAGCTACATACGAAATAAAAAGGAACAAAAATAACAGATAAAACCTATTCTGTCTAAATGTGTTTCAAGTGTTCAGATAAAAGGCAAGTGAAACAACCTAGAGAAGATGTAAAAAACCTTTTGGGAGCATTGTTTCAATAAAGAAAAGCCTTTCCATATTAATTATTGAGTAGAAATGATGGAAAAGGTAATGGGGAAAGAAGCAGAGAGGAGTGAAGAGCCACCCTACAATTGGTGATAATTTCCCAAGCTGGGCCTGGGAGTTATAAGTGAGATGTGCTCCCCTCACCAACCAAACCAGTGAAATATTATAGCACATTTTTCTCTCCCTTTTTCGGAGTGCCAGAGTTTTTTGGAGTTCCTGTAACAGACCAGGTTTTACTTGCTGATCCTTAACAGAAATTATTTTAAGGTAGGTCTTCCTAAACTATGGCCCAGGGAGTGGGGGGTTCAATGTCTTGCCCAAGGTCATATAGCAGGCAATCTGTGAGCTGAGATGCCCTTCACCAAGGGCATGCCCTGAGATGCCGTTCGGGGCTCTCCATTTGCAAAGAGAAGAACCCAGGAAAGTGCAAAGAAAGTCATTGTCACTGTTACAGTGACCAAGACAACACCTTGGTAATGTCTGGATAGAATTCTCTGAAAAATGGGGACAATCTGAGTTGTACAGGCAGCAACTGAGGGACATTTTTAGGAACCAGAAGTAAGCATTTGTGATTGTAAATTATTCAGGCTAGATATTTACAATGAGCAATTTAGCTTCAGGCCAATATTAACTTCCATTCCTATTACTATCAGATTAATTGCATTTTGTTGCTTTTTCTAAATACATGTCAAATCAGGAAACCTATAATTCAGCAGTTAGTCATTAAAGTAGCAGTGGATCTGCAACTGTGTTATCTGAAGCCCTTCTAAAAAATAAAATAAAAATCCAGGGCTTCTTTTTTTGGTCTAATAAACAGAGCATTAATAAAAAGCAACTAGGATATTCTTCCTAGGATGAAATATGTCTAAATTGAAAAAGGCTTCAGATAAAAGAAATCAAGGCAAATAAACAAAAGATGATTGAAAGAAGTTGGATAAATTTGCATCTTAAATAATGCATCTATAGAATCATAGAAAATACAGTTGCAAATTGTCATTTCAAGATTATACAAACCATTTTATACATTTTATATACATAGTAGTTACAAAAATAAGTTGGACTTAAAGTGGAGTTAGTATTATCTGACACATTTCAAATACTTAAGTACTAAAACATCATATTTCCTATGCATTACAGAAATTATATGAAAATGTGTATGTGTGTATCTCTCTTCATTTTTCATTGTTCTTCATGATCTCATGCCTTTACATGCAGCTAATATCAAGTACAGTTTCACAGCAAATCAATGAAACACAGTTTACATCAAATGACCAGAGAGTTGCCAATTTCTAAAAAATCCCAGCATCTCTTGTGGATTGCTGACTTCAAAGACATGCATTAAGATTATTAAGCAAGTAATGATTGATTTATTACATAACATTAAGAAATGTTTTCTTTGAAGCACAAATTAAAAGGTCATGGATGCCCAGATTTTTCTTCAGGTTGATAGTTAAAAATGCAGAATAGATAATATTGCTGGCTATGAAGGACACATGAAGGGGATTTGAAGTAACTCTCCTTTCTGGGCAATATTTTAATGAAACGCTTAATATTCTGCAGTGGATTAATGAGGCAGTTCTCTATTTTCAAACAATGGATGAACAATTAGGACCCAATCCTGAGGACAAATTGGTGTCGCTGTTATTTTGTGATGGTATTTAAAATGACCATTGCTGTAGCAACAAGGTATTATTTAACAGGAATGAAAATAACCATTTACATCAAGCATTTCAGCAGAGATATTCTGGGAAAAAAAAATGTGGCAGCTGCTGTTCCTAGAAATAAAGCTGACATTTTCGGATGAAAGCAACCAGCTGAAACCTAAACATGCTTTGTGCCGTGTTCAGAAGTCACCCGAAATGCATGCCAACGTGCTAAACACTCCCCATAAAGCCAGCAAGCTGTGGAATTTCTCACTCTGGTCTCAAAACACTCAGGGGAGAAGAGATGGGTGCAGATCTTTGAAGAGGTCAGATTTGAGAATGAACAGAATTAATTAGCCACATGAGAGTAAGGAAACCATACATCAAGTGTGGGAAAAGTTATCTACATATGGAGATTAACTGGGAAAAATTGATCTTCCAACCAAACTCAAAGTCCAATCCAAGACTACTCTAAACACCTGCATGTCCTAAATAATCAGGAACTATATTGCTCAGCAAGCTTGCATAACAATGTAAACAGAATAATAAATTGTCTCTGATTTTTCCAGTGCATTGTTATGGAAAATGAGGATGAAAATTCTACGGGTGGTCAATGAGAATAAACTATGTTTTACGCCCAAGAGTCAAATAAAAATCAGGGACTTTTCCCATACTTCTGTGAATTGTAATATATATTTACCTCAATGTCATCCCTGAGGAATATTCTTTCTAATTCTACCTCTCACACCTCTAGTCTTTTCTTCCCAGGTGCAAAGTTATTTTGCTTGCTAGTTGAGATAAGTTCTATAATTTAGTTTCCCCCCTCTTCCTCCCCCCAAAAAAAGACTATAGGACTAAATTGATAGGATGAAATGATAGGTTTAAAGAATAATTCATTATACCATCAAGATCTTGGCATGCTGATAGCTGAAAAGACTACTTTGAGCTGTCAGTTCTAAAGCACATACTTTTTCATTGTCTGACATGCCAAGTGCTTGATAGAATAATGAATTGTTCCCATTGACATCACCATCGCACGTAACTCTTGGGCTCCATGCAGCATTTTTCAGGGGTGATGAATAACATCAATGTTCTTTCCATGGTGTGTAAAACTAGGAGGATGAGGGCAGGCTCAGGGACTGCTGAAGAGGAGGATGGTGGTTTAGGGATGGAGGGAAGAATGGAGGCAAGGTCAGAGGTATCATTAAGGTCAGACACAACTGTGGTGCATGTGATAACACCTCATAATTAAAAATGTATCATTCCAACTGGGCGCTGGTGGCTCATGCCTATAATCCCAACGCTTTGGGAGGCCAAAGCAGGTGGATCACTTGAGCTCAGGAGTTCAAGACTGGCCTGGACTGTGGTGAAATCCCGTCTCTACCAAAAATACAAAAAATTAGCTGCACATGGTGGCGTGTGCCTGTTGTATTCCCAGCTGGTGAGGTGGAAGAATGGCTTCAGCCCAGGAGGCAGAGGTTGCAGTGAGCCAAGATCATGCCACTGCACTCCAGCCTGGGCAACAGAATGAGACCCCATCTTAAAAAAGAAAAACAAGAAAACATACAATTCCACATTCACATTTCGACATAATTGCAACAAAACACCATCCAAGAATTCTGCCTTTTTACTTGGGAAAGGTTTGGGGTTTGATTTTTTTCTGGCTTGGAAGCTATTTGCTGCTACTGCACTCAACTCAGAGGCCCAGCTCCCCTGGCTCAGAGATAAGAAAGACAAAAAGAAGGTACTCATATCAAAGCCATGGGGCCATTTCCCTTAGAATGGGTCATATACACATACCCAAGTTATACTCTGCTCCTAAAGCATGATCATCCTTCTCTGCATCTCCAGGGTAGGCCAAATCTGAACCACTGTAGCCAAGGGAATGTCTCCTGAAGGCTGTAAGACCCACTGAGCAAACTTGTCCAGAGCCCCTAGTAACATTAAGAACTGGAGCTACAAAATGCTTAATACTGACAGAAGTCACAATCCACAGAGCTAGGCATTAATGCATTAGGCACTTACCATTTGTGTAAATAACTTTTTTTCCTGCATTTAAAAGGCAGTCTTGGACTTTCATTAAGACTCTGGTTTCCTCTAGGCAATACCATTCAGGACACAGGCATAGGCAAGGACTTCATAACTAAAACACCAAAAGCAATGGCAACAAAAGCCAAAATAGACAAATGGGATCTAATTAAACTAAAAAGCTTCTGCACAGCAAAAGTAACTACCATCAGAGTGAACACGCAACCTACAGAATGGGAGAAAATTTTTGCAATCTACCCATCTGACAAAGGGCTAATATCCAGAATCTAAAAAGAACTTAAACAAATGTACAAGAAAAAATCAAACAACCCCATCAAAAAGTGGGCAAAGGATGTGAACAGACACTTCTCAAAAAAAGACATTTATGCAGCCAACAGACACATGAAAAAATGCTAATCATCACTGATCATCAGAGAAATGCAAATCAAAACCACAATGAGATACCATCTCACACCAGTTAGAATGGCGATCATTAAAAAGTCAGGAAACAACAGATGCTGGAGAGGATATGGAGAAATGGGAATGCTTTTACACTGTTGGTGGGAGTGTAAACCAGTGCAACCATTGTGGAAGTCAGTGTGGCGATTCCTCAGGGATCTAGAACTAGAAATCCCATTTGACCCAGCCATCCCATTACTGGGTATATACCCAAAGGACTATAAATCATGCTGCTATAAAGACACATGCACACGTATGTTTATTGTGGCACTATTCACAATAGCAAAGACTTGGAACTAACCCAAATGTCCATCAATGATAGACTGGATTAAGAAAATGTGGCACATATACACTATGGAATACTATGCAGCCATAAAAAAGGATGAGTTCATGTCCTTTGCAGGGACATGGACACAGCTGGAAACCATCATTCTGAGCAAAGTATCACAAGGACAGAAAACCAAACACCGCATGTTCTCACTTATAGATGGAAATTGAACAATGAGAACACTGGGACCCAGGGTGGGGAACATCACACACTGGGGCCTGTCATGGGGTGGGGGGCAGAGGAAGGGATAGCATTAGGAGAAATACCTAATGTAAATGACGAGTTAATGGGTGCAGCAAACCAACATGGCACATGTATACCTATGTAAAAAACCCGCACGTTGTCCACATGTACCCTAGAACTTAAAATATAATTACAAAAAAAAAAAAAAAAGACTCTGGTTTCCAGATAGGGCCTTCTCTGGTTTCCAGGTAGGGGCTTTCTCTACCACATTCACCCAAGTAGTGAGTATTATAGTAATAACACCTGCTTCAGGAGTTCCCCTCCCCCTCCACTAAACAGCAATTAATTTTCTTAATTTTGTTATTTCAAAAAAAAAAAGGGGGCAGTTTTCGTTTCCCCTCTCTTGGTAGACATTTTCCTACTATCATTGAAAACACTGGATTATGTGAGTATTTCTTTCTGTCTCAGCCCATCTCTAAATACAAGTAGATGAATAATCCCCCCACTAACATGGGGTTAAGAACACATGCATTTTATATAAAGACTTTAGGATAAGGCACAGAAGAACCATTTTTCCATCAGAGCCACGAAGTGGCTATTTTATATAACATGAGTTCACATGTGTGCATATATTTGTATATATCCACATTTAATTTGTCATTTCATCATAGACTTGATGAGCAGAAGTCTAGACAAGATAGTTAGAGCTCAGATAACGTGTCCAAACTCCTCACTGAAAAGCTGAGAATGCTGAGGCCTGGGGAGGAAGGTTGGCAGACAGAGCCTTTTTAGTTAGTGAAGTTCTCAGATGATGTTGATAAAACTACCACAAGGCAAAAGTTCCAGTCCTGCAGCCCTGGAGCATCTGCCAGTTTTCCCAGGGGGGCATCATTTGCCATCTGCTCTCACCCTTCTCACTGAGGGTCTACCTCTCAGACTGTCAACCCATTACAGGGCCAAACATTCTGGGGTTGTAGACCTCAGTGGCCATTGGCATCATGGCATCTCAGATTAAAGTTTGGCACCTACACAAAGGTTTCTCTGGGGTACATGGGCACATGGCCTTGGCTTCCTATATGTCTGCATCTTCTTCCTGCTCTTCCTCCTCTCCCTGCTGCCTTACTATTTATCGAGGCCTTGCCAGATGCCAGGCATTAATTGTGCTTTCTTACATTTCCCTGGGAAGAAGCTCCCCTGACTACACTACCCCTCAGTCTAAAGCGTTTCTCCTGGTCAGGAACATTGTTGAGTTTAGCCTAGACTGGGCATGATGACTCACACCTGTAATCCCAGCACTTTGGGAGGTCGAGGCAGGCAGATGGCTTGAGTCCAGAAGTTCAAGACCAGCCTGGGCGACATGGTGAAACCACATCTCCACCAATAACAGAAAATAAATTAGCCGGGCTTGGTGGCACATGCCTGTAGTACCAGCTACTTGGGAGACTGAGATGGGAGATCACATAAGCCCAGGAGGTAGAGGCTTCAGTGAGCAGTGATTGTGCCACTGTACTCCAGCCTGGGTGACACAGGGAAACCCTGTCTCAAAAAAAAAGTTTAGTCTAAAGCTGCCTTCTCACATATTTAAAGTTCAGCCTAAAGGTTTCTACGTAGATGGGAAACTGTATCCTATGATGGAGGTGTAAACAAATTGTAGCCTACTCTTGTGCCAATCACAGGGGCAATCGAAGGGGGCCAACTGTTCAAACCATGTTAAAACAAGACAAACACCAGGCTGTAACTAATCTGGCTGTTTCTTTACCTCACTTTGGCTTTCTGTCTATCACTTTCCTTTTTCTGTCCATAAATCTTCCACCATGTGGCTGCACTGGAGTCTCTCTGAGCCTACTCTGGCTCCGGAGACTGCCTGATTCCCGAATGTCCTTTGCTCAATTAAACTCTGTTAAATTTAATGTGGCTAAGGTTTTCCTTTTAGCAACATATTCTTTCCCTTCAGGGTACTTCTCTCCCGTTATCCTTACATACTCTCACTTGTGTGATTACCTGACTAATATCAGTCTCCCCTATTCCTTACCATTGTGTTCTCAGCAGAGTGCCTCATACCTGGAATGAACAAATAGCTCCTCACAACCACCTGATGAGGTTGGGTCCCTTAATACCCTCCATTTACAGATGAGAAAGCTGAGGCTCAGTGAGCTTAAGTGGTTTGCCTTAGGTGTACATGTAAAAAGTAGCAGCACGGGGTGCATTTGAGGCCAGAGCCCATACTTTCACCCGTCTCCCACACTGCCACTCCTCATGAGTCTGCAAAACCCCTCTAATTTCTGTCAAGATGTCATCTGCATGCACTTGCCAAACATCACTCACTACCTTATGGAAGACTCTCGGTGGATGTCAAGATGTCTTAATGGGTGAAGCGGGTGTTATCTTCAGGCTAACTTGGGTTCTCTTCCAAGGGTCAGGCACAGATCCCAACAGAGTAAATCCAAATTCTGCTACGATGTCTTACCACAGGGGTCTTCACTTGGACAAGATGCTGTTACCTAAGAAGCAACTAGTCAAGTCATTTCTGCAGGACTCCTGGCTGATGGGTGCTATCAAGTTCCAACAGGAAAGCAGACTTTTACACCACAGACTTTTAAGTGCTATTAGAATTAAACAGAAGGAGGAGGAAGAAAGGAACAAGAAGGAGAAGAAAGACAAAGAGAAGGAGAGCATATTTCCCAGCTATGGCCCTTTTCACTACTTTAAAAGCAAAACCATCAAAGAATGGGCACCTTTCTATGGGTATGACTTTTATCCCCTTGTCCTCTAGATTTATTGCTTGCACCACGTAGCTTCCACCATAAAACTCTTCTTTCCAATAGACTGCTATCTGAATATCAAGAGCAAGACTCTCCAGTAACATATAATCTAGTAAAAAGTAAATATGATAGAATAACAAAGCGATTTCTGAAGGCAATTTATTTGCATAGAGATACCTGAGAGGGAAAACCAAAATTCCATCTCAGAATCTGGTAATAATGTACTATGAGATGCTCCATCATCACATCTTACTTCTAATTTTACAGAAAAGCAGTTGTAGCAACTGGAAGAAAACCTCTCAGTCTCATTTCTGCAAGGTGAACCATAAACACTTCTAAATGCCTCATGGGTAAACTCTCTCCCAGCACATTGCTGAATATCACTTGAATATTTGAAAAACGATATGTAGACAAAGATATTTTTCTAGAGGATTTACATTTTCCCATCAATGTAGAATTGCCCTTGCTGTGAATAAGTACTTGCTTTCTTTTCTCCCCATTTTCCACGTGCCTTAAGGGTTTGAAGGGTTGCTATGGATGATGTTTACTTGTTTCCTTAGTTTTTCCATTTTCCTCCTCATCCTGCCTTATTTTAGCTGGCTTTCAAATGTTAATCCTGGCCTTTCCCTGCCTCACCTTAGGTCTGTTCAATGTGTCCCTAGTACTACTCTCATTTCACTAGTCACCTGCTTCACTAGTCACATGGCTATACCACTTTAACTTCGGGTTTTCTTCTGGGACTTGCAACAGTCACCTTAAACTTCATCCCCTACCTGCTGATTCCTCATCCAATGGCCTTATATCAAACTGGCCTGATTTTGCTGGCACCTTTACTTAACACTGTGCCCGACTTGGATTTCCACCCAAGACAGGAGACACTTCCGCTGAATTGTGTCCTTGCCATTTACTCTCCAGATTTCTCTGGAAACTACGATTACTTTTTGCCTACTCTTGTCCTGCTGATTGAATGACCTCAGCTTGAGAGGCAACAACACAGTGATGTAACTGGCTGGCATTCAACTTGGAGTAAGACAACAAAGGTCCAAATCCCTCAACCTTAGTTTGCTTGCATCTCCATGGTGTAGTATGGGGAGAATAATACCTGCAGTGTTGGCATTGCTGTAGCAGTGAAGTTCTTTCAGATTGTAAGGATGAGCTAATCCAATCCATAACCTAAATGTACTAGCAGCTTCATGGATAACTGGAAAGTGACTCATAATTGTACCCCATAGAGGAGGAACCCCAGTAGCTCAGATCTGGTGTCTTTGTCCCAGGAACTTTGGCATTCTCTTTGCACCTCACCTTCAAATGTCCCCAGCAGAATGGCTCTGGATGGGTCATTTATTTACCGTTTATCTCGCAGCCTCTTGATTGAATAGACTTTGGCTCAGCTGTTGATTCCTGGTCCAATTAACAAGAACCAGGTATCACAGTTGATTTAACTCAACAAATAAGATGCAACTGACCAGAACAACTGCATGGTGAAGGCACTGCCTGGTCCCCCTTTCCCCAGAAGGCGGCTTTAGCCATGGCAAATGCTTAGGGTAGCCTGCCTGGAGTGGGATTCTTGCAACACCAATCCTCATACCTCTTGAAGAAAAGATTCCATGGTCAAATAAACTTGCATACAGTGCATATGACATCTTCCTGTTTAGAGATTCACAATGCACATACATCAAAGGTGCTGAGAAGTCCTGCAATAAACTTGCTTTAAATTGACTTAAGGAAGCATTTATCAAATAACTATTTATATATTTAGAGACCGAGTCTCGCTCTGTTGCCAGGCTGCAGTGCAGTGGCGGGATCTCAGCTCACTGCAACCTCTGCCTCCCAAGTTCAAGCGATTTTCCTGCCTCAGCCTCCCAAGTGGTTGGGACTACAGGTGCATGCCACTATGCCCAGCTAATTTTTGTACTTTTAGTAGAGACGGGGTTTCACCATGTTGGCCAGGATGGTCTCGATTTCTTGACCTCGCGATCAGCCTGCCTCAGCCTCCTAAAGTGCTGGGATTACAGGCATGAGCCACCACGCCCAGCTGTAACCCATTTTTTTGTGGAACATCTTATGGACACTCAGTGGAAGATACTTTGGCAAATTCTGGCTTAGACCTCATGAACTGTCTATTGCCACCAGCTTCATCAGTGTCTCCAGAACAGCAGTTCCCAACCCCTGTACATCAGAACCACCTGGGGACATTTAACAAAATATAATCAGCCAGACTGTGCCGCTAGGTATTCTGATTTACTTGGTCTGAGGAGAGGTCTGGAGATCAGAATTTAAATGCTCCCCAGGTATTAGACCTTTAAATAATAACTCTATATGTTATAGTACAATAATAGCATTTACTAAACATGTTTTGTGCCAGGCACTAAATAAGTGTGACATTATTCTTTTATTTTATCCTTATATGAACGCTGCCTAATGTATATTACCACCAATCTACAAGTAAGAAAATATAACCTAGAAGACCAACATAAAGAAATTTGCTCTGAAGAAGAACTGAAGAGATCATGTGCCATCTATAGATCCTAAATAGAGCTAGAGTCTTCATCAAATTCTCTACCAAGTCAAAAAGAATGCATTCCCCTAAGCAGCTTCTGTCACTAGAAATAATCTTCTGGGGACCAAGTGCTCTTCCCACAAGATGATCAGGAGATACTATACAGGATCCAGCTATTGGCGGCAGCTAAGCAATTCCACACTTAAACCTGAAAACGGTCCGTTATCATTTTCCCGCCTTCCCTCAAATCAGGAATAACAAAATCCATCACACTCAGAAGCAAGGCCTTACTCCTAACACTCGGGTGCCTGGAATCTACAATGAGATTCAGACACAGGCTTCAGACCACCCAAGAGGCCATTTGGAAGGGCTTGACTGCCACCTTGTGGTCCTGTGCACTACCAGCCAAGGCGAGGGCACACAACCAGGGAGAAACAAACCGTGAGCAAACTGCTCTAACCCACTTCTTCTGTTTTGACAAGAATGGTTATAACATCGTTTGACATGTCCCAGTAAGCCGAAAGAGAACAAGGTATTAAAGTATTCTCGCAACAGCCCTTGCTTGGGAGTAGGTTATTTTAAACAATTGCTTTCTCCAGGGCAATCATACCTGAGTTGATTTGTGTATATGCTCCTAGTTTAGAAAAAGCAAGTATTTTCCGTATTTTCTCTCTACTGACTAGGTTTCAAAAAAGAACTATTTTGGGCCAAGAGTGGTGGCTCACACCTGTAATCCAAGCATTTTGGGAGGCTGAGACCAGAGGATCTCTTAAGCTCAGAGTTTGAGACCAGCTTGGGCAACATAGTGAGACTCTATCTCAACAAAATATGAAAAATTATCCGGGCCTGGGGGTGCATGCCTGTAGTCCCAGCTAGTTAGGAAGCTGAGGCAGGAAGATCACTTGAGCCCAAGAGTTTGAGGCTACGGTGACCTGTGATTGCGCTGCTGCTCTCCAAACTGGGTGAGAGAGAGAGACCTGTCGGAAAACTAAAAAACAAAACAAAAAATTCGTTTTTTAACGGCAAGAAAAGGCCCAACTCCAGGACTGTTTTTTCCATGTTCTATATCCCCCAACTAATTTCTCCCTTCTCTTTCCCTCCCTTCCTTCCTTCCTCCCTTTCTTCCTCCCCGACCTCCTTCCTTCCTGCATTACATGTAAACATCCCTACCTAACTCAAAATTCCTTCACCAAGAAAGCCCTATATCCAATCCTTCTGCTACTGGCTGTGTGACTTTGGGCAAGTTCCTTAACCTCTATTTAAACATCTTAGAACGGTTTTTACATTTTTAAAAGATTGCAGGAGGAGGGCAACAAATAATAATACGCAGCAGAGACCATATGTGGCCCACAAAGCCTAAAATATTCAGTCAGCAGTACACGGTATCAACTATAAGTATTCTTTAAAAACAGACATTCAATCTGAATCTTAAGGAGACTTTAGATCCAACTTTCAGTTGACAGGAAGCAGGAGGGAGAGTAAGACAAGCTAAACGGCACCTCGGCACCACCTCACCCGCTAGTGAATGTGCCGCTGAGATCCCCTTCAGACTGAAGCACTCAGTCCCCAGATTGCTTGACATTTGGCTGCTGATGGGTCACAGCTGAGCTCCTCACCAGGCCTTGCCCTCAGCTGAAGGAAGTGGCCTTGCTAAGGCCCCACCCCTCTCTGGGATGGCCCCTGTTTGAACTTACGTGCATTTCTTGCCTCGTGCATTTCTTGCCTCATTTGGGGACCTCACTGAAAGGCCACTCCAGCCCTACAGCACCCCGCTGAGGCCTCACCTGGCATTGCCCCTCAATTTCTCCCTCTGCCCAAGCCTGGACCCCTTACACCCTCACAGGTGTTGATCGTGAGAACCTTCCCCCCAAAAACTATCTGCATTCAAATCTCCATCCCAGAATCTGTTTTCCTAAGACATCCCTCCACACCCTATTCTCAGCGTAACAGCTAGAGTTAGTGTGTTAGAGATAAGGCAGGTCTTTACTACTTTACTCAGATCCCTTCAATGGCTTCCATCTCATCAGAACCTTGCCATCTACACCCTTGTTGCATTATCTCTTGACTTTGCCTCCTACTCCTCTGCCCTTGATCACACCAGCCACACTGGCTTCCTTGCTCTTCCTCAAACATACCAGGCATGCTTCTGCCTTGGGGTCTTTGCACATCTTCTTCTAGCTTCTTGGAATGCTCCTTGTCCAGTTATCTGCATAACTCCATCCCTCACCTCCTTCTAGTCTTGAGTCAATGAAGGCTTCCCTGACCCCCTACTTAAGTGTGCAGGACTCCACCCCACCCCAGACTCCACATCCCTTTCTTTGGTTTTCTCCATAGCACGTATCAGGATCTGGCACACGGTACATCTTATTGATGTTATTTAACGTCTGTCTCCACCAGAATGTAAGCTCCATTATGTTGTTTAATGTCTGTCTCCATCAGAACGTAAGCTCCATGAGGGCAATAACTTTTATCTATTCTTTGCTGTATTCCCAGAACTTAGAATAGTAACTGATACAAAGTTGCAGCCCAATCAATATTTACTAAATGAACAAGTAAATAAACGAATGGAAGACTGTGAACATGGAATCAGAAGAAGGCTTGTGATCTTCAGGGAAGTCCCATAACTTCCCTAAAGTGGAATGGAAGACTTCCCTAAACGAATGGAAGACTGTGAACGTGGAATCAGAAGGCTTGTGATCTTCAGGGAAGTCCCATAACTTCCCTAGAGTGGAATGGAAGACTTCCCTAAACGAATGGAAGACTGTGAACGTGGAATCAGAAGGCTTGTGATCTTTAGGGAAGCATTCTTCACATGAAAAACAGGAACCATAATTCTTATGTCATTTTGGTAATGATTATACAATATAACATTTATAGAAGCATCATGTAATAAACTGCTAAATAAAAGGCATTTTTGATCAAACTGAATTCTTCATCAGAGAGGTACTTAATTTTTATAATCTAAGAGCTACCAGATTGCCAAAAAGGAAGCACAGAAACATTCAGACACAGAAAACCTTAAAAATGGTTCTGATATTCAAATAAAATATAAAATGATTTATTCCAAAGCCATACCCAAAACATACAATGAAATACATCCCTGTTAAAGACTTAATAAAAAGAGCAATCTTTACATTTTACAATTTGAAGACCTTCTGTTCCCACAAAAAGTCTCATAAAATTCCATAAAGTGTCAAATGTATTTTCCTGTTTATATAAAATGTATTCTCTCTTCAAATATAGCCGTTTTATTATGAAATTGTTCTCAATTTCTGAAATTCTCAGTAGTCTATAGTATCCCATTTTCACATGCTTCTTAAAATGAGGTAAGAAGACAAACGGTGAAACTTTTTTCAGATCATTTTTTCAGAAGTCAATGCCTTGCTGATGCAAAGCGCAACATGCTTTTGTCATCCCTTTCATCTGAAATATTTTCCCAGTGGTTACTCAGTATTTTGCACACAAAAAACAGTTACAATACCTGCCACTTAAAAATCCATAACATGTTGTAATTCTTCTTATGTGATTTTAAGGTCTGAATCAAAGCCATTGCTACAGTGATTCACTATTTTCTTTACAGGTATTTTAATAAATATTCCTCAATTCTAGAAGACTGTTCCAATCCTTTAAAGTGGGGGTCAGCAAACGTCTTCTGTAAAGGTCCAGATATTTTGTTTTGTGTGTCATTTTTCTGATGGATATTTTTTACAACTGTAAAATATTTTTAAAAAATTATTTAGCTATTCTGTAATTTGTTACTCCATTATTTTAAAAAATAGAAGTAACTAGTCTCTAAATCAGACTACTCAAGTGTTAATAAAATGTAAACTTCACATTGTGCAGTAAAATAAATCCATGGTTTCTGACTACTAAATTGAAAGTTCATAAGCAGTAAGAAATGAATCCCACTCAAAGAGTGGGGCTACATTCCAGATATTCTTTTTAATCAATGACACTGTTTTAGAGCTTCTTTTTCACTTTCATTGAATAAGTCACATGTCTTTAGTTTGTTTTTTCTTGGTCTTACTTTTCACAGGGAAAAATTCTCTTCATGAGGCTAATTTGAAGTTTTTGAAATTAAAGACTGGAATACTTTCATGCTGACAGAGGTAGACGCACACGCACTGGTATATGCAGTTACAAATACTCGCATAAAATGGAAACCATTATTTCATATATAAATTAATTAATCACAAATGCTCTCCATGGCTAAGAAGGAATCAGTGGAAACCAGACAGAAGGTATGCAAGACAGTCCTACAGAATGTTCTAATTTGCTTTTATCACATGTAGTTGCTACATTTTAGGAAAACATGATTTAAATATGAAACATGTAATATAAATTAATATAGTGGCATGATTTATTCAGGTTCTCGATGCATATAACCTGGAGGTGACTAAACGCTGATCTATAACATGGTCCTATAGCTTGGTACTGAGAATCACAACTCTGCGTGTGTGTGTGTGTGTGTGTGTGTGTGTGTATGTTTTGCATGTTTTCCTTTCCTACCACAAACAGTGTTATAACCAGATTATGGCAAATAAAAGAACAGTTGTAAATTTACCCAAATATATCATAAACAAGTTGGAACACTCTGGAATTACAGTCATATGATATTCTACAAAAATATTTACAAATTCTAAAGCTGAAAAAGTTGAAAACTTTGGTATTCCTAAAAAGAGAAAGTTCAGGGCCATGCGTGGTGGCTCACACCTGTAATCCCAGCACTTTGGGAGGCAAGGTGGGAGGATTTCTTGAACCCAGAGTTCGAGACCAGCCTGGCCAACATGGTGAAACTCCGTCTCTATCAAAAATACAAAAATCAACTGGGCGTGGTGGTGCACGCCTGTAATCCCAGCTACTTGGGAGGCTAAGGCACAAGAATCACTTGAATCCAGAAGGCAGAGGTTGCAGTGAGCTGAGATCATGCCACTGCACTCCAGCCTGGGTGACAGAGTGAAACTGTATCTCAACGACAACAACAAAAATTTAGCCAGGTGTGGTGGTGCAGGCTGCAATCCCAGCTAGTCAGGTGGCTGAGGCAAAAGAATCGCTTGAACCTGGGGAGGCAGAAGTTGCATAAACTGAGATCATGCCACTGCACTCCAGCCTGGGTGACAGTGAGACTCTGTCTCCAAAAAAAAAAAAAGAAAGAAAGAAAGTTAAAGTATACTGGGGAGTCCATGCTTAATTTTTGAACTATAAAAAGTTTTCAGTGCAAAATTATTGCTATTGATAAATAGCAATGACACAAAAACCACATGAAACACTTAACATCTATACAACACATAACAATATCCTGAAGGTATGTTTTGGCATAGAAAAGGTAATTCGGGGATAGGAAATAACAGATTGCTTTACTGATTTAATTCTAAGTCTGGGTGTTGGAGTGTTTAAACACTCTCTTTTTGCAAACAGACTCAGCATATTTATAGCTCATCATGTTTCTTCTTAAATGGCCACTTTGGGTGTTGCAATACGTGGTCTGCAGCCTGAAGGACAAGATACATAAATTCTTCTACATCGAAAGAGTAGTTGGTGAACTTCGGGTGCTCCCCCAGGGTTGGATGGTGGCCCTGTGAAAATAAACCAAAACACGAATCCATAACTCAATGAGGGCATGGTTTTCTCTACAGCAGGAAAATTATGTTACTTTGGTTAAGGCAACTAATTTATGTTCTACATCAGAGACCAGCAAACTTTTCCTGATAAGGGCCAGATGATAAATATTTTCAGCTCTGCTGACTCTAAGGTCTCAGTCACAGTTACTCCACTGTCGTTGAAGTGCACAAACAACTAGAGACAGTGCATAAACAGACAGGCATGACTGTGCTTTCTTTACAAAAACATGTCATGGGCTGGATTTGCCCACAGGGCTGTTGCTTGTTGATCCCGTCTCTATATATAATCTAATAGATCTTTCTAAGCCCAAATTTCACGAAGCTGCCTTTGTAACATTAAAGATATAGGTTGCTTAATTCCCCTTTTTCTCCTATTTGCAAATATAAAATAAAACAATTCAGTATTCCAGAGAACAGTTTATCTTTGCAGCACTGAAGTTCAATAACCATTTTTCATATCAATAATTGGATACTTTAAACCAATTAAAAATGAAGCAAGGTAAGTTTTGTGATTGAACTTTACCTTATCCTGAGGAAAGACTTTGTTCTGCCGTCGCCAAGTGATGTAGTGAACGCCTCTCAGCCTGGCCAAGTCTAAGTAACAGCGTTCATCTTCACAGTTGTACCTAAGGACACAAGGGTGTCACAACATGAGGCTTTTGTCCAAGGTTTTTTCCAAATCAACAACTCTGCGAAAATAAAATGCAGCTCCCAAATATGTCCTTGCAAAAGGTTGTAAACAAGACTGAGGAAGACAGTAAACAAGACTGAGGAAGAGAATGTAAAAATATTCTCTGAACTAAATGAACTTAACTTTTAAAAAACAAAATAGGGTCATGGAATGGAGAGAATTGACCTTATTCAATAGGGCCTGCTGCCTATGGACTTGGCATGACCTTATAATACCTCTGTCTTTAAATGTATGAAAGAGGCAAGGGGGATAGGTAACACTTCCAAGGTCATATAACTAAATAGTGAAGGATGCAAAAGTAGAACCCAGGTCCATTAGACTATAAGGCTTGAGTTTTCTCAGTTACATTTCTCTCCCTTCTCTCTCCTTTCTTCCATCCTTCCTTCTCTCTCTATAAGAGAAATGACAGAGATAGAATCCATTATCTGGCTATTTCTCTACATATATCATATATATTTTTGAAATGTTTTGCAGGGCATTGGAAGTTCATGACAACTTTTTTCCTAAATAGCCTCCTATTTAAATACAGAGTCAAATCACTTTTAAAATGAAACCATAGAACCCAGATATTTAGACATAATGGGGGGAAACAGGTAACAGTAACTGCTATTAGTGTCTCAAGACCTAAAATGGAGCACAGTGCCAACAGCAGAATTATTATGAGAGGGAAGGTCATGTCTCCATAAACCAACCACTGAGTTAAAAGTATGCCCTGGGCAAATCATGAACACCCAAGGGCCTCAGTTTCCCTGTGTATGGGATCAGCAAGCACTAAGTTAAGTGGTTGGCTTGTGTTTTGAAGCTATGTCGTGCATGAGACATAAATGCTTTCTTTTAACACAATAACTACACTGTTTGCAAGAAGACGCTCAGAGTTTGGGAGGTATGCAGGAACAAACTCAGAATAAGGAAACCACAGATTCACATCTTCCATATCATGCTCGGGATGGGAAGATGAAGGGGTAGTTGGCTTACTAAGTGCAATGGCAGGCTGCAGACTTTGTATTTTTAGCTTCAGGCCTCTTTTCTTTCCAGATTGTCTATATGATGTGACTTCTCTTTTTGAATGATTAAATATTAAGCCTTTTGATGCTCAGAATGAAAGCTTTAGCATGCATAAAAAGCATTATCAGTTGCTTCAGTGTAAAACTGCCTCCCAACACTTACAGTTCAAATACAGCAGCCCAGTCTGGAAGGAAAAGTAAATGGGTCAGACCAGCTCCATGCATTCCAATAAATATGTCCGTGTTGTGTGTGATCCTTAGTTGATCTAAAAACCCAAGTTCTCTGTGAACATACAGAATAACATGAGAGAGATGGGGAGAAGAGAGAAGTATTAGGTTGAGTTAGTTCATGATTCACAGTAAGGATATTTATAAAAGTGTATTGCCCATTTTAAACCACATTCCATTTTTAAGAAGCATTTTTGCCAATTTCAAGTGCGCTCTAGTAATTAATAAGTTTCTTAATAATTTAACATATTTTCTAAGTAAGCTCACCTATCCTTTTAGGTTTAAGTACTTTTTTTAAAGGAAACTTTAATATCTGTCTTAAATGGAAAAGCAGTGACATATGACATCAACAAAACTGTAAAAATTGATATAATCAAACTAAGTAGTGTTCAAATCGAGGTAGATACTATTGCAAGACAAAGCTCAGAGCCTGAGGCCTGCTCTTTCTTCATGAAAAAGAGAAATTGGCAAGTGTTAAAGAGATGTTGTGACACACTAGCACTAAATTAAAAACTATTTCCTTAGGACAATAGAAGCACTTTTTAAAAAGAAACATTTCTCCTTGTGTGATTTAAGTTTTTATAATGCCCTCTGGGTACCTCCAAAATGATCTCAGATACCACCAGGGCATTATCCTGCCTTTGGAACAGACAAATCCACAATTTTATGCATGTTAGGACTGTACAAGTGTTCTCTAAATCCAAGACACTAACCAGTGTGTAAACTTTGAACCAAAAATCAGTCCCCAAACAATTCACTGAGGTGAGGCTAGGGAGAAATGCTGGAATAAGGGTGACACTCTGAATAAACAGAAAGAAATGAGATCTCCCAGCCCCAACTTACCCAAAGTAAAGAAAAATAAATGATCAAGATTATTTTGGATCTACGAAGGGAAGCTGAATTCCCTTTTACACCAGCTAACAACAAAAACTCCGCATAGGAAAAAGATGACAGCTCCATGTGTATGTGTATCACAACGAGAACATGTGCCTCAGTTTCTCCAGGAATGTGAACTGATGCCAAGGGAAGGACGGCCATTCACCCAGGTGAACATACCCCTGCACTGCCAGTTGTGGAAACGCCTGTGGTCAGCACTCACCAATCCCCATGCCAACATGTTACTAGTATTTCCCGCAGACTGGCAAGGTACGAATTCATTATCATTCTTGCTTATCTGAGAAACTACAACATATCCTTAAAAGCCAGTCAATGATACAGCCTCAGAGGTGCCCTGCCCAGTTCTTTCCATTTCTTCCCAGCCTCATCTAGGTGAATGGTTTTGGGACTGATGTGGGGGCCCCATATTGGCTCACTCATTTCTTCAAGCAACACTGACACAACATTTCTTCAGCGCAGCAGATTTTACATAATCTGTAAAATGGGACTAGCTGGGCCAACTCAGAAGACTGTTGAAAGCGTGAGATGAGATAAAGCAAGTAAGCATAAAAGTACATTTCGATAAATAGTAGCTGTTTTTACAATTGCTATTTACCTCTATTCAGTGTCTGAGATCCTCAAGACCAGGGCTATGCCATCCGCCATAATGGGATTCCTACTGCTGAGACTGGTGACCAGCTCATGGGTCCCCAATAGAGATTTATTGCACAAATGAACTAATGTATGATGAATGAAGTGCAAAGCTCCCATGCCAACATTCTCTGAAATTAAGTGTATCTATATTAGATACCCACATGCTGGGATATGTATACTTCTTTTAACTGGAAAGTGTTCACAGTGTTAGATTTGGGAAACACAGCTGTGACTGTAGGTGGACATGGAGACAGAAGTTTTCACTTTTCCTTTTGATCTTTTCTATACTGCTTGACTTTTCAACCAGAAACATGTACTACTTTTACCAGGAAGATGTAATTCTAGCAACAGGAATTACCCAAACTGTGAATAATAGGCATATTCTGTCTTTCTAAGCCTTTTAGTTGTGTTAAGAGTTTTAAAAGAAATGTAAATATTTGGTAAGTTTTTTTAAAATTTCATGTTATTCTGACCCTCAAATTATCCCCATATAAATAATTTTCAGTCAGATGTTGAAATCTGGCAGGAGGCAGGGCAAATTAGGTTTATAACATCTAAATTTTGATAACTTTTTTGTTATCAAACATTTGATAATGTTATCAAATATTTGATAAATTTTATAACACCTAAATTTTGAACTAGTTGCCAATTTTTTTTTTTTTGAGACAGAGCCTCGTACTGTCACACAGGCCGGAGTGCAATGGTGCAATGTCAGCTCCCTTCAACTTCTACCTCCTGGGTTCAAGCCATTCTCCTGCCTCAGCATCCTGAACAGCTAGGACTACAGGCACACGCTGCCACACTCGGCTAATTTTTTTTATTTTTTAGTAGAGATGGGGTTGCACCATGTTGTCCAGGTTGGTCTTGAACTCCTGAGCCCAGGCAATCCACCCATCTCAGTCTCCCAAAGTGCTAGGATTACAGGCGTGAGCCATCGTGGCCAGTCTGCCAATTTTTTAAAATTATGAAATTTTAGGCCGGGTGTGGTGGCTCATGCCTTTAATTGCAGCACTTTGGGAGGCAGAGGCGGGCAGATCACTTGAGGTCACGACTTCAAGACCAGCCTGACCAATATGGTGAAACCTCGTCTCTACAAAAAATACAAAAATTAGCCGGATATGGTGGCACACGCCTGTAGTCCCAGCTACTCGGGAGGCAGAGGCAGGAGAATTACTTGAACCCAGGAGGTGGAGGTTGCAGTGAGCTGAGATGGCACCACTGCACTCCAGCCTGGGTGACAGAGCAAGATTCTGTCTCAAAAACAAACAAACAAACAAACAAAAAATTCTGAAATTTTAAATGAAAATCTGAATTCATCACTTCTTTTGAATAAGGAGATGGAGTGACAACATCAGGCCCCAGAAAGCCAAAGAGTAACTGCCCTTGTTACCAGGGACTTCACCTGCCCATTTCATTCATCTGTAGTGTCTACTTGTCCCTTCTGGGCCTACAAATGCCAATGGCTCCCACTGGAAAAATGCTTTCTAGCCCCCTTGACCTCATCCAAGCAAAAGTTGACAGTGTCTGCTGAGATTGGCTATTACTTACCTATACTTGTAATCAACAATCTGGACTTCAAATGTAGATACTGTTTTCAGTGCATTTACAAGCTGGGAAAAAAAGAGAAACATTTAGCATTTCTTTTCCTTCTTTCACTTCTGTTTTTCCCTTATGAGTCCTAAAATTTCTTTTTTTGCATATACTATTTCAGATATTAAATATCATTTGGTAACAACAACAACAAATAAAAAGAAAATAAATAAATATCATTCAGGTCAATAGTTCTGAACTGTCATTAAGTTCAAATCCAGGCCCCACCTGTGAACACACGACTCTACCTCCCTCAGATACCAATGCACTGTGTTGCTGTGAGGCTGAAAGGAGAAGACAATTCAGGGAAGTAAAGTGCTAGGCACAGAAATAGCTAACCATTAACTGTTGTTATTACCATTTGCTTATTATTCCCTCAACTTTCAACACACATTTTTGGGCATCAGAATGCCCAAAATGTTCTAGACTTTACCTTAAGAGTTTTTGCCCCATCCATTATCTCATTTCAGACAACACTAGCGCTTTGAACCTCATCCTCTGAAAATACTAAGGTCTTGGCAGAAAAACATTTTCAGTACTTCTACATAGAAAAACAATTATTCTTCTAGCAAACAGAAAGTAACAAAGCATTGTTAATCTATTATCAAAAATATAGTCATGGTTCTCTGTCCCTCACAATTAGGCCACGGGGGATCACCACCATTCAGAAATTTCTGCAACTGTGTCATGTTGCCTTGTGGCATGCACTGCACTGCAACAGCAACATCAACAGTTGCAAGTATCATTGATGGGGCATGTAAATGGTGCTGGCATTTCTAAGAGTGTCGTTAGGTTTACTTCACTTAATCCTCGTAAGAATCACACCAGTGGCTGGGCGCAGTGGCTCACACCTGCAATCCCAGCACTTTGGGAGGCCGAGGCGGGCAGATCACCTGAGGTCAGGAGTTCGAGACCAACCTGACCAACATGGTGAAACCCCGTCTCTACTAAAAATACAAAATTAGCTGGGTGTGGTGGCACATGCCTGTAATCCCAGCTACTCGGGAGGCTAAGAGAAGAGAATCACTTGAACCCGAGAGATGGAGGCTGCAGTGAGCCGAGATCGTGCCACTGCACTCCAGCCTGGGCAACAAGAGCAAAACTCTGTCTAAAAAAAGAAAAAAACATACCAAATATCATACCAAGTAAGTATTAGTACTATGCCCACTTTACAAATTAGACAAGATAGGCTCAGAGAAGTGAAATAACTTTCCCAGGATCTCACAGCTCCCAAATGCACAGCCAAAAATAAATCTAGGTCTTCTGACCCCAGAACCTGCGTTCTTAACCAGTGCACTCTATTGTCCTGCTTACAGAAAGCAACAAGCAGTGACCAACATTTAATCCCCTCCCCTCTCTCTCTCTCTCTCACACTCACACACACACACACGCACACAGTCATAACATGGAAATTTCCCTCTCCAGACAGCCACTGAAATCTTATAAAGAGTTGAAGGGGTAAGAAGATTAGAATTCTGTTTTACAGGAGAGATGGCAGATGGCATAAGCCTTGGTCTTTTAACAAGATTGCCCACATAAAAGGAATCATGTGTGCTGACGGTCTCAGGGCAAGCATGCCCTTTTTCATGACTTCTAGTTGCACGAAAAAGGTGGCCCTATCCCTTCCGATGGCTATTCAAACCCTAAAGTTGGGCAGAATTCCACAAGCCATGATTTAATGAGGCCATTTGGGTTGATTAATACATACCTGTTTATTAATCAAAGTATAGCCAAAGGTGCTTTCTTCCCTTCCCAGGAGCTGCCTTTCTAGTAACATCCAATCCTCAAGAAAGAAGCAGCCAGTTGGGTGCTCTTTGGCTTGGAGTTGGGGGCTGAATGATCAAATTTCGCCTTTGGGTGCCATCATCTGGGCAATGCGCATGACTGGATCTGAAAACCTCACACATGCACTAAAGCATCTACCAGCACTATACCTTTCTACTGGACTTCTCTGCAGTGGCCTGATGTTGTTCCTCAGCCTGCCCCTTCCTGATGGACTGGGGCCAGAGGTAGCTTCTGCCTCCTCTGAAATCTATTTGCTGTTTTAGTAGTAGCACACTCTGGCTAAGAAAGCAGTTTCAGTCCCTGACTACCTTGACTCACGCCCCCGTTACTCTAATCACCAGCCGGGTGACCTTAGGCATGTTTTTTAACCACTGAGCCTCAGTGTCCTTGTCTAGAATAGAGGATAATAATACAATACCTACCTCATGGGTTTGCTGGGAGGGTTGGGGGGCACAATGTACAAAAGGAGCACACAATAATATGCTTGACCCCCAACTGCACTCAATATGTATGGTCTATACCAATATATACTGTTGATCTGTTGGCTAGTGAGGCTTCTCATTTGTATTCCCAACATTGCACTATTTGATACGTTCGTATTTCTAGGTCTTTAAACACACACATACAAACACACACACTGCTCATTTCTTCCATCCACAGAGCTTACAATTAACACCTCATTATGCCATATGTTCATGTCCTCTGTAATCCATATGGGTCTCAGGAAGAGATGTTAATTACATAATTCGGATCAGCCTGTTAGGCAGCCAAATTAGTCTGTGTAAAATATTTTACCCATCAAAACATGACACACACCACCTCCCCCCTCAACTTTCCTCTTACTGAATATTTTCCAGTTTGTTTCCACTTATCTGCTCAAGTTAAAAGCCTCAAGTCACACTTGATCCTTGATACCTTTCCTGGCCTTCTCTAATGTGAATGTACTTTTACATTCCAAAAGTAAGTATCATAGGTCCTATCTCCAAAATATGTCTTGAATGCATCTACCATGTCATCTCTACTGTCATCACTTTGGCTAAACACTCTCCCCTGGGCCACAATAACAACTTCTGATCAATCTCCTTGCAGAATGACTTAAAAATAAATGTCAATTCATGTCTCTCCCTCTGTATTTGTTTTCTATCTGCTGCTGTAACAAACTGCCACAAATTTAGCAGCTTAACACAACACAATTTATCCCCTTACAGTTCTGCAGGATGGGAGCCTGACGTGGGTCTCACTGGACTAACACCAGGGTGTCAGCAGGGCTGTGTTCCTCCTGCAGGCTCCAGGAAAGAACCCACTGCCTCACCTTTTCCAGCTTCTAGAAGCCCTCCACACTCCATGACTCATAGGCCTGCCCCCTCCATCTTCGAAGCCAGCAACATGGCATCTCTCTGGCCCCACTTCCCTTATATCTCCCTCTCCCACTTTTAAGGAAATTATGAACTCTGATTTGATCAGTGAGAAGAATCCAGTGAAGAAAAGAGCTGTCCAGGCCGAGGCAAAAGTTCTCTAGCAGATGGAGTTTAAGGCCCATTTGTGATTATACTGGGCTCACGTGGATGATCCAAGATAATCTTCTTACTTTAAGGCCAGTTGGTTGGGGACCTTAATTCCATCTGCAACCTTACTTTCCCTATGCCATGTAACCTAACCTGTTCACAGATTCCAGGGATTTGGATGTGGACATCCTTTGGGAGGAGCAGGAAGAGACATTATTCTACCAACAACGCCCTGCTTTAAAACTTCACAATGGCTTTCCCCTACACTGGAATAAAATCCCTCTCCCACCAAGGTCTAGGAGGCTGATACGATCTGTGGCCCCCTGCACCATGCCTGACCTCTTGGATATCGCCCCACCTCTCTCAAGATGCTACAGTCATATTGGTATTCTGTTTCTAGAATACTGAAAGCTCAGTCCACTAGAATACATTTGACTCTGCCCGAGAGGCTCTCTCCCTTGCTAGATTCTTCTCTGATTAGGTCTTTGAATGCCCTCATGTGAGTACAAACCCCCATCCATCCACATCCCCAGTCTCTATGACATCACCCTGGTTCATCCTTCAAAGCACTTATCACTGCCTGACATCACCGTACTTATTGACGTTTTCACTTACTTCTTATCTGTCTCTCACCTCTACGGTGTAAGCTCCATGAGGTCAGGCACCTTCCCCGTCTTTGCTCTACTCTATCTCCAGGGCCTAGAACATGGCCTGACACATAGCAGGTGCTCAATTAACTATTGTAGAATAAATTCTTACTACTGAGAGGCTATCTTCAGGCCATGATGTTGTAGGTAGTGGCCTTGCATGGTGATCTCATTGAGGTTAAATGTAATTTATGAGTTGGTGCTACTGAAATGAGTAAGGATGCTGAAAATGCAGTTTCTAAGACATGGTCATGTAAGAGGACAGAGATTCTTCCAACTAAATCTGCTGCTGATACCACAGGATTAATGGCCTCAACCATCTGTTGCATCAACTATGCAAAAGAAAGTCTTACATTTTTGCTACTTGTCTGTCCGGATGCCCTCTACTGCAGTCAAGGCAAGATTCTGACAGCTTTTTCCATGCTGAGTTGATGCAGATGAAATTTACTATAAGGCAAAGCTAGTTTGTCTATGGGTGGTTTGGTGAATCTCACTAGAAATTCAAATCTAATAAATAAACCGGGCATAGGCCATCAAACTTTTCTCAAAACTAAGTTTTAAACCAAAGCTTTTAACGTAATGTGAAAAAAAAAAAAACACAATTTGCTCTATGAATTGAATATGAAGGCATTAAAAATGCATACCAAAAACTAACCTCATTTTGGTTAAGGATTTTCCGGTATTCTGTGCTCCGTGCAAGAATGGTGACTCGAATTTTTCCATCCTGTAATCAAAATGAAACGGTAAAATAACACTGCATATGCCTGGGTAGATGAATGAACATCTGAACCCAAAATGTGATTTTCACAAAGAGATGAAACTCAACCAGGATACATTAATAGAACTCTTCTTTTTTAGCTTGATTCCTTCACCACTCTCAGGGAATAAAAATGTATCCACTTCAACCACCGAAGGCAAAAACCAGCTCATTACATTGTCTGTTTGGTTGGGTGGGTGAATTTTTTGGCAGGGGTTGTGTATGTTACATGAACATTTGGGGAGGTGAGGGAGATATAACCAATGAAGGGGGAAAGGAGGACAGGAGGAAGCACATTCTTGTAATATCCCTTAGCTTCTCTTTTATAGGTTTTTGACACCTGGTTTCAGATGACTCCAGGTCAGAAAATGTTTTTGGGTTTTGTTTTGGGGCAGTCTTGCTCTGTCGCCCAGGCGGGAGTGCAGTGACATGATCTTGGCTCACTGCAGCCTCTGCCTCCTGGGTTCAAGCGATTCTCATGCCCCAGCCTCCTGAGTAGCTGGGACTACAGGCACATGCCACCTCGTCCAGCTAATTTTTGTATTTTTTGCAGAGATGGGGTTTTGCCATGTTGGCCAGGCTGGTCTTGAAATCCTGGACTCAAGTGATCCACCTGCCTTGGCCTCCCCAGAAAATGTTAACACAAAAACATGGTCTCCTGATTATTTCTGTTTCTGAAAAGGTGGTATCGATTTTTATTAGGGAAGAAAACTCAAGCCCACCTCAGAATCCGCAGTGTATCCATTACCTTAGGTCCTTCTTGTGTGATGTTTAGTCTGTGTAGTACATGCTGGGCAAATGCCCTGAATAGTCCAGTATTTTGACAGCCAGATATCTAAAATAAAAACACTGGTTCATATTACAATGAATACTTCTGTATTATAATTTAAGATACTGTCAACTTATGTATAAATGTTATGTCTGTAAATATGAATGCTAATGGTAGACAATGTGCTTACCAGAGGAGTATTATAGAACAGCCCATACCTCATGCGGGGGAGTAATGAAAAAACAGCTTCTTTAAAACATACCTAAGAACAAAGATACATTAAAAGAAGATGTAATTTGCACCCTTCACACCAAAAATAGCACGTATAATTTTGAGAAATAGATTTTAATTAATCTCCATTTTGCATTGCTTGAATAGCACACTATTTCATTCAAAGAGAACAGAATTCATATTTTTGGAAAGATTATAGAAAAAACTTTTCAAAGGCTGCATGATTAACAACACTGAGGATTCTAATTATAAAAGAAATTCAGAAATTCAGAAATCAGTGGTAATGGCTAATAGGAACTCATAATAAATGTTTATTTTATGAGTGAGTCATCTGCACTCAAGAAATATTCACAGACATTTCAGGAAAATTTCCAGTACCCTTTTGGAATCATAAGTTTTCAAATGTATAACGTCATAATCAGTAAATGCATTCCATGTGTCGGAGAATAGGTCACCATATCCGTAAGAACTCTGAAAGTAGAAACAAAACAAGGTTTTAGGGCAATAAAAGGATATAACATGACTTTTCAAAGATGCAACAAAATACCTGAATTTGCCTGTGTTAAAAACTAACAATCCTACGCAAGTTCATAAAATCCATACAAGCAAAATGGATCTTCATCTTGGGCCAGAGCAAATGCCTAATTTGATGAAATATCATCAGAAATAATTATCACAATTATACTCTTAGCCATTAATAGTGTTTCATTTTTCTACCTTAACTTCTTTTATTCTCACATCTTTGTAGTTCAGGGCTTTTTCCTGTGAACATCTTATCCAAATTATAGATACACACAACACACACTATGCCACCGTTTACACACACTCTTATGCTCAGTGTGCAAAAACCATCAGGGTGAATGAAAAATCTTTGGAAAAAAATTTCAGAGCAAGAAAATGGGTTCAAAGTTTTAACACTGGCTGGGTGCGGTGGCTCACAGCTGTAATCCCAGCACTTTGGGAGGCCGAGGCGGGCAGATCACCTGAGGTCAGGAGTTTGAGACCAGCCTGACCAATATGATGAAACCCCATCTCTACTAAAAATACAAAAATTAGCCAGGCATGGTGGCATGTGCTTATAATCCCAGCTACTCGGGAGGCTGAGACAGGAGAATCACTTGAACCTGGGAGGCGGGGGTTGCAGTGAGCCGAGATCATGCCATTGCACTCCAGCCTGGGCAACAAGAGCGAAACTCCATCTCAAAAAAAAAAAAAAAAAAAAAAGAAAGGTTTAACATTAAAAATATAGGCTGGTCACAGTGGCTCATGCTTGTAATTCCAGCGCTTTGGGAGGCAAAGTGGGAGGATCACTTGAGCCTTGAAGTTTAAGGCTGCAGTGAGCTATGATCATGCCATATACTCCAGCCTGGGCAACAGAGCAAGACCTTGTCTCTAATAAAATAAAATAAAATAAAAATATATAACATATGTAATTCTATGAAATATCCCCCCACCCATTGACTAGTGAATAAAAAGTGGTAATTTCCCATTAATATTAATGGTGTCAATAACAACTTTATATAATAATAATAGCATCTTACATACTTCCTATGTTCCAGGCAGTTTTTTTGGGCACTTGATATTATTAATGTACATTAAGCCACCCACAAGCCTAATGAGTTGATAATATCATTTTCTCTATTTTGCAGATGAGGAAACTGAGACACAATTTTAAGTCATTTGCCTACATTGCGAAGCAGCTGAGTTATAGAGCTGGTATTCAACCCAGCCTGTGCTGCCACTTCCATCTGACAGCTGCCTTTCAGCAGGAATTAGTTCTTTCCAGTATAATTACCACATGCTTTTTTTTTTTTTTTTTTTTTTGAGACTGAGTCTCACCCTGTTGCCCAGGCTAGAGTGCCATGTCGTGATCTGGGCTCACTGCAACCTCCACCTCCCAAGTTCAAGCAATTCTCCTGCCCCAGCCTCCCGAGTAGCTGGGATTACAGGCGCACGCCACCACACCCGGCTAATTTTTGTATCTTTTGATAGAGACAGGGTTTCACCATATTGGCCAGGCTGGTCTCAAACTCCTGAGCTCAAGTGCTCCGCCTACCACGGCCTCCTAAAGTGCTGAGATTACAGAAACCACACCCAGCCTGATTTATTTTTTGAAAAGTAGTTGATTATGAGCTCCATTAGCTAAGAAGATCAATTAATTTTTAAATGGTTTCACTTAGATTGAAAAATTCAGCCAATAGAAATCAGAAATATGCATTGTAGCACTACATTCAAGCTCTACAGTTATACATTATGTTCATGTCTCTTTTTTATAGCATTCTTTTCTCAGATTTTGAAAATTTTATGTTGCACATATTACAGTTATTTCAAAGTTATTGAGATCTGTTAGATGTGAAAAAAAAAAAAAAAAGCCTTCTTTCCATGTTCCTCCAATGCCATTCTAATAAAGGCCCTTCTCAACACCATCTAAAATGAAATGTCCCTGTTCTGGCTCAATAATAAATAAAGGGCAATTAAAAGAAGTGATTCTAGATGGTTTCCTGAGATAAAATACTTCAGATAAAATAAAATATGTTTGAAAGGAAATTTTAATAATAAAATACAGTAATCCTGACTGATCCTTCCTCAGGGAAGTCATACATTATTGAATAAGAACCACCTCCAAAAGCTTCTTTTCCATGTTTCCCAAGTCCAAATTATCCACCATTTGGGAAGGAGGCACTTCTTCCTATACTCATGTTGAAGAATATTTGGATAGTCTTCAAGATGACATAAAATTTCCTTTAGTGTGTCTCAAATTTAAACATGCACATAATCTATGACTTAGAAATTCCAATTATAGGAATCTGTCCTACAGAAATGCTAGGATGAGCATGTGAAGATATAGGTATATTGAAAGGACATATGTGTTTATGGTCACATTTCAGTAAATAGCACAGAACTGGAAACAAAACTAAATGTGATGGGGGGTGGAGTGGGAAATGAATACATGCACTGATGCATGCATCCAACTTCCAAAACATCCATTAAACAGAATACCACATAACATCTAAAGCAAGGATAGCCCTAAAGGTACTGACTTAAAAAGACATTCCACAGATAATACTAAGGTGGCAATATGAGACAGAGAATGTATTTTCCATAAGAATATAAACATATTGGCCAGGCTCATGGCTGTAATCCCAGTGCTTTGGGAGGCTGAGGTGGGAGGATCACTTGAGGCCAGGAGTTCAAGACTGTATTAGCCAGTTTTCACACTGCTGATAAAGACATACCCTGAGACTGGGAAGAAAAAGAAGTTTAACTGGACTTACAGTTCCACATGGCTGGGGAGGCCTCAGAACCATGGCGGGAGGTGAAAGACACTTCTTACATGGCAGCGGCAAGAGAAAATGAGGAAGAAGCAAAAGTGGAAAACCCTGATAAACCCATCAGATCTCATGAGACTTATTCACTATCACGAGAATAGCATAGGAAAGACTGGCCCTCATGATTCAATTACCTCCCCTTGGGTCCCTCCCATAAGATGTGGGAATTCTGGGAGATGCAATTCAAGTTGAAATTTGGTGGGGACACAGCCAAACCATATCATTCTGCCCAGGGCTCTCTAAATCTCGTGTCCCCACATTTCAAAACAAACCATGCCTTCCCAACAGTCCCCCAAAAGTCTTAACTCATTTCAGCACTAACCCAAAAGTCCACAGTCCAAAGTCTCATCTGAGACAAGGCAAGTCCCTTCCACCTATGAGTCTGTAAAAACAAAAGCAAGCTAGTTCCTTCCTAGATACGATGGGGATACACGTATTGGGTAATTACAGCCGTTCCAAATGGGAGAAATTGGCCAAAACAAAGGGGTTACAGGGCCCATGCAAGTCCGAAATCCTGCATGGCAGTCAAACTTTAAAGCTCCAGAATGATCTCCTTTGACTCCAGGTCTCACATCCAGGTTACACTGAAGCATGAAGTGGGTTCCCACAGTCTTGGGCAGCTCTGCCCCTGTGGTTTTGCAGGGTACAGCCTCCCTTCTGGCTGCTTTCACGGGCTGGCATTGAGTGTCTGCGGCTCTTCCAGGTGCACAGTTCAAGCTGTCAGTGGATCTACCATTCTGGGGTCTGGAGGATGATGGCCCTCTTCTCACAGCTCCACTAGGCAGCACCCCACTAAGGACTCTGTTTGGGGGCTCCAACCCCACATTTCCCTTCCACACTGCCTTAGCAGAGGTTCTTCATGAGAGCCCCGCCCCTGCAGCAAACTTCTGCCAGGGCATCTAGGCATTTCCATACATCTTCTGAAATCTAGGTGGAGGTTCCCAAACCTCAATTCTTGACTTCTGTGCACCGCAGGCTCAACACCACATAGAAGCTGCCAAGGCTTGGGGCTTCCACCCTCTGAAGCCACAGCCTGAGCTGTACATTGGCTCCTTTCAGCCATGGCTGGAGCGGCTAGGACACAAGGCACCAAGTCCCTAGGCTGCATACAGCATGGGGACCCTGGGCTCAGCCCACAAAACCACTTCTTCCTCCTGGGTCTCCAGGCCTGTGATGGGAAGCGGCCGCCATGAAGGTTTCTGACATGCCTTGAAGACATTTTCCTCATGGTCTTGGGAAGTAACATTAGGCTCCTTGCTATTTATGCAAAGTTCTGCAGCTGACTTGAAATTCTCCCCAGAAAGTTGGTTTTTATTTTCTATTGCACAATCAGGCTGCAAATTTTCTGAACTTTGATGCTCTGTTTCCCTTTTAAAACTGAGTGTCTTTCACAGCACCCAAATCACCTTTTGAATACTTTCCTGCTTAGAAATTTCTTCTGCCAAATACCCTAAATCATCTCTCTCAAGTTCAAAGTTCCACAAATCTCTAGGGCACGGCAAAATGCTGCCACTCTCTTTGCTAAAACATAACAAGAGTCACCTTTGCTCCAGTTCCCAACAGGTTCCTCATCTCCATCTGAGACCACCTCAGCCTGAATTTTATTGTCCATATCACTATCAGCATTTTGGGCAAAGCTATTCAACAAGTCTCTAGGAAGTTGCAAACTTTCCCACATTTTCCTGTCGTCTTCTGAGCCCTTCAAACTGTTCCAATCGCTGCTTGCTACCCAGTTCCAAAGTCACCTCCACACTTTCAGGTATCTTTTCAGCAACACCCCACTCTACTGGTACCAATTTACTGTATGAGTCCGTTTTCAGTCTGCTGATAAAGATACACCCGAGACTGGGAAGAAAAAGAGGTTTAACTGGACTTACAGTTCCACATGGCTGGGGAGGCCTCAGAATCATAGTGGGAGGTAAAGGCACTTCTTACATGGTGGCAGCAAGGGAAAATGAGGAAGAAGCAAAAGTGGAAACCCTAGATAAACCCATCAGATCTCATGAGACTTACTCACTATCACAAGAATAACACAGGAAAGACTGGCCCCCAGGATTCAATTACCTCCCCCTGGGTCCCTCCCACAACATGTGGGAATTCTGGGAGATACAATTCAAGCTGAAATTTGGTGGGGACACAGCCAAACCATATCAAGGACCAATCTGGGTACCATAACGAGATCTTGTCTCTACAGAAAATAAATTTAAAAATTAGCCAGATGTCAAATCAGAAGACAGTAATATATATTATATATACGCACACACACATATGTTATGACTATATTGTCATAACACATATATAACACATATATGGAAAAGAATAGCCAGGTATGGTGGCATGCACATGTAGTCCTAGCTACTTGGGAGGCTGAGGCAGGAAGATCACCTGAGCCCAGGAGAGCAAGGCTGCAGTGAGCTAGGATCATATTCCTGGACTTTAGCCTGGGTGACATATTTGCACTTATTAAAATAAAGAGAGTCCTGCAAGGGACTCACACACGTTAAATGCAGTTACCCTTGGGGGAACAGGGAATTGGAGAGGAAGAAGGAGACTTTTTTAAAAACTTCACATACTTCTGTGTTGTTTGAACTCATTATAATCAGGTATTACTTTCATAATTAAAAAAGTAATCATGGCTGGACACGGTGGCTCACATCTGTAATCCCAGCACTTTGGGAGGCCAAGGCAGGCGGATCACCTATGGTCAGGAGTTCGAAACCAGCCTGGTCAACATGGTGAAACCCTGTCTCTACTAAAAATATAAAAATTAGCCAGGTGTGATAGCACACACTGTCATCCCAGATACTGGGGAGGCCGAGGCAGGAGAATCGCTTGAACCTGGGAAGCGGAAGTTGCAGTGAGGCAAGATCGCGACACTGCACTTGAGCCTGGGTGACAAGCAAGACTCTGTCTCAAAAACAAACAGAAAAAAAGTAATCATAAAGCTATACTACTTCTCAGCACAAGCAAATGTGGAAAGCCTGCCGTAATTTCTCCTTTTATTCATTCTGTTTGATAAGAGCAACCCTGCTGTGCCCAGAGAGGCATCTGAAGATGGGTCCCTCTATGCATGTTTGCAGGTTGGTGGCCTTGCCCATCCCACTGAAGATGCCACATGCTGAAGGGAGTAAACTGCAGAGCTTTTCAAGGAGGAGAGGGAAAGGCCCCATAGGCTTCCTTGTGATGACAGGTTGGAAAATATCACCAAGATGTGAACTGCAGTCACAGTTACCTCCCTGCTCTTCCCTGGGCAAACTGCTCATCCAAGACCATCAGGACTCTGGCAACACCATCCACCGGGAGGGATTCATGTCATAGTCAGCCTGCAGGTCACAGTGATGCTTAATTTAAGTCCTTACCAACAAAAGGGAAACAGCAGCCACACAAACCCTTACTTAGCGCCATCCCCATCCAACCTACCCTGTGGACCTGAATTCTGGAGCAATCTGGCAGAATTGCCTGTCCTGAGAACCTGGCTTAGTAAATGGCTTCTTTGACCAAGCGTCCGGGTTTAAAATGGATGCACATGGAGTGGCAAAGGAAGGAGGTAACACCAGGCGGCCACCCTGCTGGGCTACACCCATCCTGCTTAACTGTGCCAGAGCTGAGGTCAGACTGCCCTCATGTCTCATGCTCAGCTGACTGAGTAACCTGGGGTCTTCATGGTGGCCGTGCATCCTACTCCAGCAGCCACAGAGAAGGGGAGGGTTGTAGGAGCTGGCTCACTTACAGTGAGCTAATGTGACTAAGTTATACTAAGCCCATTTGAGGAAGATGTAGAAAAGCATGCAACAGGTACAAGGAAGCTTCTGGAAGCCATCTGATAAATTTCTGTCATCTGATAAAATTCTGTTTGGCAACTTAGGTAGAGTCCTCTTCAGAGGACTTTAAGAAGACGACAGAGCACTGTGGTGTCTGAGCACAGGTCTGGGGTCAGGCTGCCTGGATGGAAACTTTGGTTCTGCCCTCGCTGACAGCATTATCTTAGAACACTCACCTGCTGCTCAGGCCTCGGCCTCTTGTCTGTAAGATAAGCTAATGAAAACTCAAGTCCACGGGGGTCATAAGCATGAAATGAAGTAACATAATTTATGTTAATTACAAAATTTAAAAATAGTTTTGTTTAAAAACGGCAAAACAACCCTGAGTTAATAATTTAGGGCTTGTAATGGCTGGTGAGTGTGGCCTGACTTCACTGATACAAAAAGAAGAAAAGAAAGGGATTGTTGTTCCCTTTGCTCACAAAACATTTCGAAGAAATGAAACTGTGGTGGCAGCAAAACTGAAATACAAGAGGAAAATGTAAATGCATATAGACGGAAAATAAAGCATTAACACGCCAAGAATTATAGTCTCATCAGACTTCAAATCTAACTCAAAGTCTAGGGAGCAGTGATCCTGAAAACCTTTTTACACAGCTCTACTACAAGCCTCTTATCAGTGAAATTAAGGGTCGGCAAAACTGTCTCTCCTTCTGCATGAGAATTTGACCTCCTGTTAACTAGCTAAGTCGGCTCTCTGCAAATGAGGACAGCTTGTGTCAACAAGCCTAGGCAACAATGCTTCTGATCTAAAAAGATGCTTGATGGGTAAACTGCATCTGGACTGGGAAAGCCATGTTTCGGATTCCCTGAGTACGCTGACTCCTGGAACCAGGCATGTCTCTTTCAGGGATCCTGGGGACTTTGCCAACACAGCTGTGTCAGGAGATGTTGGCCCCTACAGGATATGAGGCTCCTAAGCCAAGGCATCGCCTGTACCTGCCCCAGGCGAATCTTGTCTCCTTGCACCTGAGCTGTGCTGTGTGAACTGCTAGCACTCCCTCTGGAAGAAACACCTGAGGCTGCCCTGCCAGCAAGCTGTGGTTCCCCTGCAATGTCATCCTGAATAGACTCACACCAAGAGCCGAGCATATGAGTGTCGTGAGTCAGAATGTTGAGTGGAACCTTATATGACCCCTTGGTGGGTGTTCCAACTTCCCAGTTTAGACAGCCTCTCTCATGTACACTACAAACCATTTATTCTCCTTATTGTAATTGTCACAGTTAACATTCAGAGCACAAGTACTGTGTACCAGGCATGGTGACTGTTCACACACTACACGGTTCATTCTCAAAATGACACCTAGGTAAATGTCATTATCTCACTATCTCATTTCAGAGCTGAAGATTCTGGGGCACATCTTGGGGTTTCCTCAGCAAGTGGAGGGGCCAGATATGGGAAGAAGCAGGGAAAAGGCAGGCAAAGAGAGAGAAGGAAAAAAAGATTGCACTAAAAACAAATAAATAGCAGGTGTCACTCAACACATGCATTTATGTGCATGCCTAAGACCTGCCCTTTACAGTGAGCTGAAACACACAGCATAATTCAGCACAAAGGACACAGTAACAAGGAAGCTGCTATTAAGCAAAGGCAGACAGTAAATGCAAAAGGCCAAACAGTAAACAGAGGCAAGCACTTCCAACATAGGTTACAGAGGTTGAGTGAATGACAGCCTTTTTTTTTTTTTTTGAGACAGAGTCTTGCTCTGTCACCCAGGTTGCAGTGCAGTGGCACGATCTCGGCTCAATGCAACCTCCACCTCCCAGGTTCAAGTGATTCTCCGACCACAGCCTCCTGAGTAGCTGGGACAACATGTGTCTGCCACCGTATCTGGCTAATTTTTGTATTTTTAGTAGAAACAAGATTTCACCATGTTGGCCAGGCTAGTCTCGAACTCCTGGCCTCAAATGATCCACCTGCCTCGGCCTCCCAAAGTGCTGTGATTATAGGCGTGAGCCACCACGCCCTGCTGAATGGCAGTCTTTCATATGTGTGTCCCAGAGGAACACTAAGCCAAAGTCACTGAATCTCTGGCCTTTGGAGCTCCACCCACCCAGAAAGAGAAAGAAACCTTCCCCACTGCCTCATTCTAAAATTCAAAGAATGAAGGTACACACATACATACCTATCTGCCTATACGTATATGCACATGTCAACACATATATGTACAGATACATTCGCACCCATCCGCATTATGTGCGGCTGTACATGTTGAAATATATGTGTCTTTGAAAATTCTGTTTCACAACATCAGAGTCACACACTGATACAAGGGAAAGACAGTACTGAAGCGGAGAGCACATTCTTACTTACGGTGTCCCACATCACGATGTACACGTCAGTACTGAATGAGTTATTAACGTGCTGAGTAATATAAAGATTGATGAAATCACAGAAGTGGTGATACATGTTAACACCTAGTGTTGGAAAATGAAACTACATTAATTAACACCAAAGAGCACATGATCAAGCAAGTTTTATTCTATCCCATCTATTTACAGTTTAAGAGAATTTTAGTTTAAATAAATGGGGAAAAAAATAACTGTTTTGTTTTTCCAAACATGAAATGATCTAGATACATAGGTAGTCCTCAATTTATGGACTGCCTGGGTTTCAAAAGTCACTCTAAAATTGGTTATTTAAAATCAGGAATGCATTTTCCCATATATCCCAAGTAACAAGTGATCATTAAGTTCCCAGAAAAAAACAAGGTAGGTCTATTTAACTCAAAACTGAGTAGAACTACAGGGCCATGAAGACAAACCATTATTTCTTCTGACTTTATTTATTTTTTTAATCAGGGGTGGGGTCTTGCTATGGTGGCATGTGCCACCATGCCTAGCTTGATCAGTTGTTTTTTAAAGTCAATTAAGGGGCCAGGCACAGTGGCTCACACCTGTAATCACAGCACTTTGGGAGGCTGAGGCAGGCCAATCACTTGAGACCAGGAGTTTGAGAACAGCCTGGCCAACATAGTGAAATCCCATCTCTACTAAAAATACAAAAATTAGGCAGGCGTGGTTAGCCACTCAGGAGGCTGAGGCAGGAGAATTTGCTTGAACCTGGGAGGTGGAGGCTGCAGTGAACCAAGATCACACCACTGCACTCCAGTCTGAGCAACAGAGTGAGACTCTGTCTAAAAAAAAAAAAAAAACCAGAAAAAAAAAAATCAATTAAGAAACATCTGTTCATCAGGGAAGTACTGGCAATGATGGCAACTAACATTTTGGTAATTTTCATTCCTGTCTCTTTTTTCCCTATTTAATCATTACATGTATCATTCCTGGAAAAACATTAACCAACTATCATATAAAAGAAGTGAATGTCTTGTGTTCTGATTGAAAGAGAAGCAATTCTGGAGAAAGAAGAAGTTGAATTCCAGCACAGCCAAGCATGCGCAACATTCTTAGATGAGTTTATAAAGTCCCTAAGCTTTAGCTTCTCTATAGAAATGGGAAATAGTTACCTAAGTGCCAGCTTTATTATGAGAAACCCAAAGATAATACATCTTAAAGTACCCATCCCAGTGCCAGGCACATAGGAAGACCTGAATGAAGACTAGCTGGATCCCACTAGGTCAGATAGAGTGGAGAGGGTTGTGGGAACTACTATTTGTAAGTTCACATGCCATTCATTAAAAAGAAACAGAATGTGCACCCTCTCCACTTAGGTATGCAGGACCCAATATTCATCCTGGAAATATACAAATCTAAATGGGATGAAATTCCAAGAACTGACACTTAGAGCATGCATTTTAAAGGTAGGAAAATGCTGAGTAAAAGAAAAACAGGGACTCTCAAATGCAGAAATCATAAAATATTCTGACTTCATTCCCACAGTGAATAATAACATTGTGTGCCAGAAATAACAGTATAAAAATACTCTGTTTTTTTCAGCCTCGTATCTTAGCTGATTGTTTGGAAGGGCTAATTTTTTCACCCAGAAAAATCTTGGCAAAGAATATATTTTCAAATTAACAAGAAAAATAAAGTTCTATCAGAATCTATCCTCTTTTCCCAGGTTAGCCATAGAGCACACATGAGCTCTTTCACGTAACATTTAGTGAGTTCCTAACAGTTACTGAGGAATGCAGCAAGCACAAATCAGTGCTTGGGGTTGCAAGAATTTATAAACAGAGAAGAAAACATAAGCTCCATCCTTGAGAAATGTGCCCCCTAATGAGTCCTGATCTGTAGAATGTTCATTTCCCTAAGGTACAAGTTAACATGAAAAGGAAAACTGAACCAGGCACAGTTACTCACACCTGTAATCCCAGAACTTTTGGAGGCCAAGGCAGGGGGATCACTTGAGCCCAGGAGTTCAAGACCAGTCTGAGCAATCCATGAGACCCCATCTCTACAAAACATATGTTAAAAATTAGCCAGGCATGGTGGTGCATATGCCTGTAGTCCCAGCTACTTGGCAGGCCAAGGTGGGAGAATCACTTGAGCCCAGGAAGTTGAGGCTGCAATGAGCTGTGATCATGCCACTGTACTCCAGCCTGGGCAACAGAGCAAGACCTGTCTCTAAAGAAAGAAAAGTAAAATTGGAAGACAGCATAAATTAGAAGAAAAAAGTAGAGTTATGAATATAGGAAAGAAATGAGACATGTCTACTCTAGCCTATTATTCTCACTTTATATACTTTATTGTATAAGTATCTGCATAAATTTAATAGCTCACACATATTTGCCACTTTTACAGACGGATCAGTGTTTTCTTTGCCCCTTTTTAATTTGCATGTTTTAAAAACGAGTCAAAACCTGGAACATAGCATTTTTACTCGCTTTTATTTCAAAAACCTAAACTTGTCTGATTTCTGAATTTAATACTTTGTAATATAAGAACTATGACTTCAGAAGGCAGAGCACATTAAAACTATGATCAATAAATTATACTAATTCTGAAATATTTGTGACAGAGGCTCTCTATATTTCACTGTAAACCCAACCTCTCATGAATTTTGATATGATCTAGCACAGTAATCCCTGTCTCTCATAATGAAAGAGATAATATAGTACAATCTGTGTTTCTCCTCCCCAGTGTAACTAGTTCGCAAAGTTAAAGCTCTGCTTGCAAGCTGAGAAAGAGGCTATAAGTATAAATGATAAAATAATTTTAATTTTATGTCAAGAATAAATTACACTGGTAACTTCCAGAAGAATTTTAAGTTCACTTTAGTCATGGAAATGATACAGAAAGTTTGTCAGCGCAGGTCATGGACACTTCTTTCCCACCCATACTATACACATGGCTTTTGATTTTTTTTTTTTTTTTTTAAGACGGAGTCTTGCTCTGTCACCAGGCTGGAGTGCAGCGGCACGATCTTGGCTCACTGCAACCTCTGCCTCCTGGGTTCAAGCGATTCCCCCGCTTCAACCTCCCGAGTAGCTGGGACTATAGGTGCCTGCCACCACGCCCAGCTAATTTTTTGTGTTTTTTTAGTAGAGACGAGGTTTCACCATGTTGGCCAGGATGGTCTCGATCTCCTGACCTCGTGATCTGCCTGCCTCGGCCTCCCACAGTGCTGGGATTACAGGTGTGAGCCACCGCGCCCGGCTTAGCTTTTGATTTTAAACATCTTAATGAAAGACAATCTAAACCAAGTGATTAGAGAAACCAGATGAGGTAAATTTAGTTACAAAAGGCATAAATATGCCTTCACCTCTCGTCCTTTGATTTTGGTTAAGTCCTTTGATATAAATGTGAAAGTTTCTTCTAAAATGCCCAAGTTATAAAATAATGGGAAGTTCAAATTAGTTCAACTACTTCTTCAGAGAAGAAAGCAAAAAAAACAAATCTACTGTTTGTCATACTGCTTCCAAAAAATTCAGAGAGAATTACTACATCCAAAAAAAGGAATAATATCTCATTAACAAATACACAAATAACAGAAAAAGTTATTTCTCACCTGCATCTAATTTCATGAAATATGTTGGTTTTTCAATGACAATGTCACATTTAGCATCTTCTATAGGTCTGAAGTTGAGCTGAGTATAGCTTTGTAGCTCAGCAAACCTGAAATTATGAATTGGGACATGACTTCAAACTGATTCTCCCAAACTTCCTATTAGAACACTGTAACTTAGGATCTGTTCATTAGGCAGATTTTACCTCTAAATGGTACAGACACTCCTATGGACACCTGTAACTTCTAAAACTTACTGACTTTTATATAGGTTGATATCAATTTTAATGTTAAGACAAGGAACAGACCGGGTGCAGTGGCTCAAACCTGTAATCCCAGCACTTTGGGAGGCAGAGGCAGTCAGATCACGAGGTCAGGAGATCAAGACCATCCTGGTCAACACGGTGAAACCCCATCTCTACTAAAAATACAAAAATTAGCTGGGCGTAGTGGCGAGCGCCTTTAGTCCCAGCCATTTTCAGGAGCCCGAAGCAGGAGAATCGCTTGAACCTGGGAGGCAGAGGTTGCAGTGAGCCGAGATGGTGCCAAAAGGAGCCGAGGCTTACAACAACCTGAGTGAGTTTAGCAGCAGATTCTCCAGGCCCAGGTTGAGTCTAGAGATGGCTACAGCCCTGGCCAACTCAGCCAAGCTGCTCCCAAACCCTGACCCTCAGAAGTACTGTGAGATAATAAATGTTTGTATTTTAAGCTGCTAAATTTTAGAGTCATTTGTTATACAACAATAGGTAATAAATATAAATATACCCTAGGGTACACTTTGGAATAGCCTGTCACACAGCAATAAGCAACTAATACAATTATGCCCTGAGCAACTACCATGTGGAATCAAATATCAGAAAGTACCAGGAATCAAAAAGCCCACTTGAATATAGAAACTACCTCTTGTAAAAGTCTGCTAAGTGACTTGAGACATTGCATTGCAGACTGCAAAATCCCAGATAAATGTGTGGTAGATCATTATTCTGAATGATCTGCAGCCAGGCAGTGAGGCCTCTTTAAGGACAAAAAAAAAAAAGGTTTGCTCAGCATGAATTTCTTTTTTTTTTTGAGACAGGGTCTTGATCCATCGCCCAGGCTGGAGTGCAGTGGTGCAATCATAGCTCACTGCAGCCTCGACCTCCTGAGCTCAAGCAGTCCTCCCGCCTCAGCCTCCCAAGTAGCTAGGATTACAGGGGCATGCCATCTCGCCCAGCTAATTTATTTTTATTTTTTATTTTTCTTTTTTAGAGATGAGGTCTCATCATGTTGCTCAGGCTGGTCTTGAACTCCTGGCTTCAAGTAATACTTCTGCCTTGGCCTCCCAAAGTGCTGTGATTATAGGCATGAGCCGCCATTCCTGGCCTTGGTATGGACATTTGACCTTACAAATTAACATTATGTAAGTAACCTATGTGACTATACAGGAGTAGCAGGAGAGTTTCTTTGGGATGATGGAACAATTCTGCATCCTGATTGTGGTGGTCGCCCTCCCCGTCCTCCTCCCCCTCTCTCTCCCTACCTACATACCCGCACCTACACAAGTGATAAAATTTTAATGAGTACAGGTAATTGCTGGTAAAACCTGCACAAGTTAATACTACTGTACCAATGTCAATTTCATGGTTGTGATCATTGTGCCATGGTTATATGAGATATTATCATTAGAGGAAGCTCAGGGAATTAGACAACGTACAAGTTCTCCTTGTAGTATGATATGGTTTGGCTGTGTCTCCACCCAGATCTCATCTTGAATTGTAGCTCCCATCATGGGAGGCACCCGGTGGGAGGTAACTGAATCATGGGGGTGGGTTTTTCCTGCGCTGTTCTCAAGATCTGATAGTTTTATAAAGGGCAGTTCCCTCTGCACACGCTCTCTTGTCTGCTGTCATGTAAGACGTGCCTTTGTTCCTCCTTTGCCTTCTACCATGATTGTGAGGCCTCCCCAGCCATGAGGAACCATGAGTCCATTAAACCTCTTTCCTTTGTAAGTTAGTCAGTCTTGGGTATAATACATACTATTTTTAAACTTCTATGAGTCTAAAATTATTTTAAAATACAAACTTTTTAAATTCAAAAAGCTGGCCAATGATGTTAACAGTCAGAGTAGCATCTACCTTTGGAGAGGGGGATGGGGGTAGAGCCTGGGAGGGAGACTGAGGTGCTGACAATGTTCTATTTTTGGACCTGGGTAAAAGTTACATGGGTGGGTTCACTTTTTCACAATCCAAACTGTACCTTTTTCTGTATGCTTTTACATACTTTAATATATGTGTATTGTTTTTTAAATGGGTTCCCCAAAACACATTTTTATTTTTTAGATTTGAGGTCTCATCATATTGCCCAGGCTGGCCTTGAACTCCTGGGCTCAAGTAATACTTCTACCTTGGCCTTCCAAAGTGCTGAGATTATAGGCATGAGCCACCATTCCTGGCCTTGGCATGGACGTTTGACCTCAAAAATTAACATTATGTAAGTAACCTATGTGACTTTGTAAGTGAATAAAACTTGGCAATTGTGAGTTAATAAAAATGGATTTTTAAGCTGATTTTTTTCTTTCATTAGCAAACAGTAAGTACTGTATCTACTATTATAAACACATACTTAATTCAGATGCAACTGAGGGATTCACTCGGTTTCCGTCACTTCCCAGAAGCTCATGCCAAATTATGTACAAATGAAGTAACATTTTCCATTTGAGAGTCTCCATTAATATCTGCAAGTGCCGTAAATAAAGGCAAATATTTCCGAAACAGATACGTTAAAAATATCTTACCATGACTGCAGAGGGCTTTTGCGCTGACCTTCAGACGTCAATGTACGGATGTCAAGTTTACAGTGCCCTCCAATTTCACCACTCTGGAAAAAGTCCTCCTTAAATCTGGTATATAACAAAACATTAAGTTAAGTTCAGAAAACGTCTTCATGACCCAAGCACGTGGGTTGTAACTAAAGTGGATTACCAATTTCCAAACTGAATTTTTTAAAAGAATTTAACTATTTACAATAGAAAATTTCAAGTGTATATGAAAGTAACAGAATCCTATCAGGACCCTAATGTATCCACAACCCAACTTTGCAATGCGATTAACTCATGGCCTGTCTGAGTCATCCATCCCCCCACCCATTCCCCAACCCCTCTGCCATATCATCAAAAACAAATTCAAGATATACCCCTTCAGCAAGGCTTGGTGGCTCACACCTATAATCCCAGCACTTTGGGAGGCTGAGGTGAGAGGATCACCTGAACTCAGGAGTTTGAGACCCGCCTGGGCAACGTTAGAAGACCCCATCTCTTCAAAAATTAAAAAATTAGCCAAGCCTGGCGGTGCGCTTCTGTATCCCAGCTACTTGAGAGGCTCAAGTGGGAGGATCACTTGGGTTTGGGAGGTCACAGCTGCACTGAGCCATGATTACACCGCTGCACTCCAGCCTGGGCAACAGAGCAAGACCCTGTCTCAAAAAAAAAAAAAAAAATCCCTGGATCTGAAAATATTTCAGAATTTATACTAGATGTTAACATTAACCACTAAAGTACCTGTCATGATTTCTCTTGATGTTTCTTAAATCAAGATAGAGATTGGTTGCTCTGCAGTACTGAAGATAACGGGAACACACCAGACTTGAGTCACTCTGAAGGTTGAGCAAAAGAAAAGAATGACTCTGAGTATTAACACAGCAAAGACTCATCCGGACTTGCTAGACACACTGACAGCACGGATACCCTCACATTCAAACCACACAACATGACAAGGAAAGCTCTCCAAAGACTGCATCTGCTGAAGGATATTTTCTCCTTCCCAGCAGACCCTGGCCAAGCATACTTTTGCCAGTTTCCCACTTTTAAGTTACCATGGAAAACTCCCCAACGATCTGTCACCTCAAATTTTAAAGCCAAGAGCTGTATATGTGGCTCAGTTCAGTCCCCTTTAAAAGAAAAAAAAAGTACCCAGATCCAGTACTACTACCCCCACAGCTATATGAAAAAGCAGCTTCCAAAAGCCAAAAGAAACAAGGAAAAATGCACATGTAAGAGACATTAAAAGCAGGGAGGGAAGTTTGCCAGTTTTAATAAGAGGTGCTTTCTGCAAACCGTAAAGCTTGTGGGAGCCTCTGTCTCAACAGCAACATGAGGGCAATATTTTCTAAATAATTGAAGAAAGGAGTCGAAGAGTCAGCTACCAGAGCCTGATTCTATTTCAACCAATCTGGGTTATGCTCAGAACTTCAAAAACTTTTATCTGCTCTGGGTTTTATTTATAGATTTAAATGCCATTTTAATTGTTTTTCCCAAAACTCCCAATGAACACAAAGTCTCAATCTTGACCTGCATGGTGTTTTGGAGTCTGTAGTTGGTAAAATATTGCAATGGACTGAATGTCCGTGTCTCTGCCAAATTCATATGTTGAAATTCTAACCCCCAATGTGATGATATTGTTTAGAAGCTACCCAGTCTATGGTATTTTGTTATAACAGCCCAAACAACTAAGACAAGGATCATACTCTGCTAGCACAAAGCAAATCAAGGTAAATCTTAATCAAAAGAACATTCTACAAGCCACCTTGAAAGAGGAGTGCAAGATAGGGGTTGTCATTATTATCTTGCCCTTTCCATGTGAACAGCTAGACTTGAGCCAAATGTGCAAGACAGAACAGAACTCTGTTAAAGACACCCTGCGGCCGTGCAGTTTAATGGCATGCCTCACATCCTGAGGCCTCATTCACCTTGCTAGAATGCTCAAAGCTCTATTACGTGACACCCTCCAATAGCTCTATAAAGTATATACTCAGTTTTTGAATGTGAGTAAATTAAAAAATTTTTTTAGTTCTCCAGTGTGGTTGGAGATCGGAGACCCCTGAGATGTCAGAGACTCAGGGTTCAGGATCATTGAACAGTGTACCTTAATCGTAAGTGCTTACAACTTCATCAACCTTTAAAAAATAATGCTGAGCCCTTGGCCGGGAACCAGGCCCTGCTGCACTGAGCATTTTTATCTGCAGAACCTCATTTCTTCCTTACCATATGCTACATAATGGGCATGGCTTTAAGGCAGAGGAAATTGAAACAAGGAAAGCCTAAGTACCTTGTCTAAGACTCAGGATCTGAATTGTAGTTGAGAGCCTGCTCTTGTATTTACTACCCCAAACCACCTCTTGACAACGTGTTTATCTGATCCACTGAGGTACGATATGGTATGGTTGAAAGTAAACTGGAAAAAAACCTGCATTTTAATCCTAGATGTGTAATTAATTTTAAAAGGTAGCTGTGCAGTCTTGGAGAAGTTGCTTAACTCCTCTGAGGACCCTGTTTTCCATACTGATAAAGTGGCATCAGTAGTATCTGCTATAACGCTTATAAGCATCAAACGAGATAACACACAGAAAAGCTTTCTGCAAACTGTAAAGCTCTGGGCAAATATAGAGCAGTATGGTGGTGTTATATCATCTGTCCCAAACTATCTGAGAATGAATTTGTAAAGACGCAGTTTATCAATTTCTCTTCATTAGCACATGTTTGGGGGAATGATTCTAAACCTAAAAATATTTCGACTGTCTTAAAATATGACTATCTGATAAATGTGGGATAAGGAGGACAGGGTTTCCAAAGGAAAGAAAACAACCTATTTGGGGAAGTTACATAAAATTCTATGCCAATAACTAAGTGAGAGTGAGGAATTCCTTTCATAGTGCCGTCTATCTTGTTTTTACATTACAAGCTAAATGATAAATATTAAAAATCAATAATAAGTAATAAAAATAAAATAGCTTAGTTGGGCACAGTGGCTCACGCCTGTAATCCCAGCACTTTGGGAGGCTGAGGTGGGTGGATCCCTTGAGGTCAGGAGTTCGCGATCAGCCTGGCAACATGGCGAAACCCCACCTTTACTAAAAATATAAAAATTAGCGGGGGGGGGTGGCACGCGCCTGTAATCCAAGCTACTCAGGAGGCTGAAGCAGGAGAATTCCTTGAACCTGGGAGGCAGAGGTTGCAGTGAGCTGGGATCGCGCCACTGCACTCCAGCCAGGGCAATAGACAGAAACTCCGTCTCAAAAATAAATAAAATTAAAATTAAATAAACAAGTTTATTTAGTAAGGAGCAAAATACCCACCGTTTCCTTAGGCTGACAGAGCACATGCATCTCCTCCAGCCTCTCTCTGGCATATCCAAAGTCAGCTTGTTTCCAAAATATGTCCTCAGCTGACTCAAGAGTGTCCGTCCTATTTGCAAATAAAAATATTCTGTGTTTTTTTCTTTTTACTTTTTTGGACCTTGAATTTTCATTCTAAAGGTTAAAATGCTAGAGGTTCCTTATTACTTTAATTTTGTTACAGTATATTATCATAGTTTTTCCAAAACTACGCCTCACTACATGAAGTTACGAAACTAAGTTATTCACAGAATTATTCCTTTATCATAAAATACATAACAGACATGTATGAAGTTATCACCTGAAACTGAAGCCAATGATGCATTCTTAATTACTATATTTTCTTTACCTCATTAACATTGCATGTATTGGAAGTACTAATTATACTTAATTCTCCCAGGAAGAATCAAGAAGAAACCATCCATTTATCTTCTTACTATACACTGGGGGAAAAAATTATCTATGGTCCTGGCTGTTTCTCCCTCTGGCAGAGGAAATGACAGATATTCCTATCCCAGTATGAAATAGTCAAGTTGAATTCATGACTGTGCAAGCAAATTAATATCTAAATGAATTACTATCTAAAACCAAAAGAATCTAGCTGGAAATTAGGGCATCAACATACACTGTATAGAAAGAGGAAGACTTGAAGAGGGTATTCCATATGGAAACTTACCATCCCATGTCGACATAGCTGCAAACTGGGTAACCAAACCTGAACTCTGGTTTGCAGGATTTCTCATAACCCCAGCAGTACTTTAGCTTCTCTAGGTGTTTCTAGAACATAAAACTTACATTGATTTCCCTTCTTCTGACATTTAGAGAAGACTCTTAGATTTTTCCATTAAGAAAACAAATCATTATAGAGCATTCACATTTACATTTATAATACGTATTCTTATAACAATAAATTTAAAACTTACAGTTAATTCTAAAAAGAGCAGTCTCAAGGTTCTTAACAATCCTCCTTACTCATCACCCCCACCATATCGGTCCCCTAACCGAAAGTCTGGGCTTTACCTAGACGCTCAAAGACCACTTGAATTTGAATTTCTTGAAGTAGCTTAAGAAACCACCTTTCTCAGTGAGCAAGCGGATTCTAAAATCAGTCCCTAAAAGACATATAAACTGGAATTTGTGCTACCAAAGGAATCACAGCTAAACTGAATCAATCAGCAACTTCACTTAGCAATCAAGATCAGCAGAGACCCCACAACACATGGACAACTCTGCCACCCTTGGGAACCACCCAGCTGCTGCTGGCCAAGGAGTTGAGAATGCTCTTCTGCAAGGCCCCAGGAGCAATGCTGGTCTGATTCCCAAGTCTGCTTTTCCATATGCTTCCTGTGCCAGCACCATGGGAAAGGAAGTGTCTCACAATGCCCAGCTTTGATCTCTGGGGCCCTGTGAGATGTCTTAATGGGCTCCTATTTGAGGCCTTTCCAACTCCTCTAAAACAGAAAGAAAGCCACAGTAACAGGCTTAATTATGTGGAGACAGAGGCTGAGGTGTTATTACTGAAATTAAGTGCTAACCGATCCTCTCATGTGCCGTTTAAGAAAGAAGAGGTGTGAAATTCTTTAGTTACTTTTAACAAGATGTTCTTTCCTGCATAAAATCTAATTGCTTCTTTACAGAGTTTACAAATAGTATTGGCTACTTATTTGTTTTAGAAGTGATTTAGATTTTAAATTTCTCTCTTATGAATGGGACATAATTTTAAGCAGTTTAGTCACTTAGAAGTATTATATGAAACAATGATTAACTTATACAGTGACAACCGAAAATTAGAATTCTGCCTTCAGTTTCAGGTTATAAAGCAGAACCTGTAAGCCAGCTGAAATTGCATCCTCATAAAAATAAGGAGAAAAGAAATAATACCTACCTTATATGGACAAAGAGAGTCTTTCCTACAGACAGTGGCAATATGCCTATTGTTGTGCAAAAAGAAGGGAATGTGCTCCTCTGGCAAGCGGATGCTGGCATAGTTATACAGAGGTTCGCCTGGAATGCTGTGAGTATTAGGAGGAGCTTCATTCTGACCACTCAGTGAGACTTCATGAAGTAAGACTCCAAAGACAAACAACATTAACATAGCAACCTGCAAACCTAGAGATCAAAATGAAGACAACTTTGTTAACAAATTTCCTTTAAAAGCCAAAACAACAACAACAACAACAACAAAAAAAAAAAAAAAACAAAGGGTCAAGGGCTAAGTATAATTACAAAGCACTTTGCTATCCCACTGAATAATGATCCTTTATTCAATTTTTTTTGAGCACTTGCTTGGTGCCAGGCACCACGTTAGCAAATGGGTATACAGAGGTGAACAAAACAAGAAAGAGCCTTGCTCTCATGGTGCCTTTAAACCTACTACAACTGTCATAAACAAGCAATCAAATAAACAACTTCAGCTGATGACTGGGCCTGTGAATCAAACCAACTAGGGGCCAGCAAACTTTTCCTGTAAAGGAGAAGCAGTAAATATTTTTGGCTTTGCCAGACATAAGATCTCTGTGGCAACTACACAACAATGCCTCTGTCCAAAAAAGTAGCCATGGTCTATTATAAAAGAATGGATGAGGCTGTGTTCCAATAAAACTTTTTAACTTACAAAAATTATGGAAGGGCTTGATAGGATCCAGTTTAGTGATACCTGAAACTAAATAAAGTAATATGATAGACAACATAGCATGGTGAACATTTAAAGCTTAACCACCTGGATTTGAATCGCAAATCTGCAGCTTCCCAGCTGTAAGACCTGGAACAAGTTACTTAACCTTTCTGCACCTAAGCTTTCCCATCTGTAAAATGGAAATAATAATAAACCTTCATCATAGAGCTGTCATGAGTTAAATGAGTTAGTTATTGGTAAAGTGTTTCGAAAACTATCTGGCACATGCTAAATGCTATGGAAATGTTTATTAAATAAAAGTTTAAAGCCATGTGGGGCAGAGAAGGGGCCTAAATAACATTAAAGCTGAGATCTGAATGATGAGGAGGGGAAAAGTATCTGTGAGAGAGCAAAGGGAGTGGGATGGCTCTGAGCAAGTGTGTGTCTGCTGAATAAAAAATTATAATCATAATCAAGGTATGAGCACAGACAATGTTCCAGGAGCGCTTCTGTACTCAGGATACAGCAATGAAGGTGCAGTCACGAACTAAACTCATTGCCCTTGTGAAGCTTACATGCTAGTAGGTATAATAATCAGCTATAATAGCTAAGACTTAGAAACTCCAGGACACTAAGCAGTCTGCCTCAAAGACTGTGCCCTTAAGCTCTCCCATCATGCCTTTACATTGTGAACAGTGATAATGGTCAGAAACCTCACTGCATTTCTAATTCACCCAGTAAGTGTTAAATCTCTTGGACCAGATTTCTCCTATATATCCCAGACAATGATCCTGCCATTCTCAGGTCACTTTAGTGGGATCTTTGTTCTTTTTTTTTTTTTAAGTGCTCTTTCCACTGGATGACAGAGTCTTAATACACACTGGATGTTCATCAGCTAGGACTGCTGTTTCCTGGGTCATACCGGAAAACCCAACTTTCGAAATCAGTCTTCATTGATTATGGGCTGTGAAGATGGAACCTTTAGAAACAGACTGCAGGCCTGTAATAGTAGCACTTTGGGAGGCCAAGACTGGCAGATTGCTTGAGTCCCTGAGTTCGAGACCAGCTTGGGCAACGTGATGAAACCCGGTCTCTGCTAAGAATACAAAAAATCAGCTGTAGTCCCAGCTGAAGTGGGAGGATCACTTTAGCCTGGGAAGTCAAGGATGCAGTGAGTCGTGATCTCGCCACTGCACTCCAGCCTGGGTAATGCGAGGGAGACTCTGTCTCAAAAAAAAAAAAAAACAAAGAAAGAAAGAAGAAAAGGAAATTGACTGCTATGTTCCATCAAACCTCAAGTTCCAAGGCCATGGAATTCTAAGTGAACAGTGGGGACACCAAAAAGGAATCCTTTTTCCCCCATTTTCCCCCCTTGGAGTAGTTAAGTATTGTGGTTTTTCACTTTGGCGGCCCTCAAGAGTATGGTGTTATCTGCTGTAAATCTGATCTGAATTACAATAACATTTTCACTTGGAGCTTTTATCCAAGAATGAGTTGACAGCAGTTTTATAAAAATTTAAAAACACATATTAATAGTAACAATGACTCTACTTGTAATAAAAATATATACCTCTTGAATCTTCAGAACCACTCAGAAGCTTCTGTGATGTTTCAGGTCTCTAAAACCTGTCAGAAATGAAACATATTACCTTAAAAGGATGCTAAAGTAAACCTGATCATTCAGATGATGTTGTGAATTAAAGGAAATATTAAGAAAGAAAATAATGTAACGTGATAACTCTCAGCCAGAAGGCCTGGCCGGTGGTGCGCTTTCTTTTCCTTAATGAATACCACACTGCTATACTCGAGTTCACAGGCACCACCCCCAACACAGCAACTCGGACCAGATTCCAATGGGGAACGGGAGGAGGTGGCCCACTTTCTACAGGCATCCACTGGAACTGGCCAACAGGATACTTAGTGGATCAAACATTCCCAGAAGCAAACAACTTTCCCATTCTCACAGCAGTAATCCCACTGGCTGAATCACAGGGCTACCCACCTAGAGTGGCGAGCCTGAGGGTTCCCAGGCCTTCCTATTTTTTGACTCGTCCTTCCCGGTAATAAAGTCATTGTTATGACCAAGCCCTGACCTTTGGTTATCCAAGTCCATTGTCCTCCAGTGAGCTCTGGCCATCACTAAACTCACCGATCAGTGGAGAAGTAACGCTTAGGCGATGGAAAAAATCTAAAGACGCAGATCAGAAAGCTGGCGTCTGGCGAGGGCATGTACCCACTTGCATAAGGCGGCTGGGGGTGGCTGCTGGGCCTGGCACAAAGCCTTCCTGGTGTCGGTCGTCCTGCAAGGCCCGCCGGGATGGGTGGCTGCACTCCTCCAGCACACGGACGCTTTACTGGCCAGGCTACTTTTCCTTCAGCTCAAAGCAGCTGGAATCACTCCACTCCAGAAACCCTTGATTCGATTTCCACAGGCCTAATGAGGAAGGAAAAAAGGGAAACATCTGAAAGATGATGGATAGGAGGCAAAACCTGGGGTTGACACAGCGGGCGAAATGGGGCAATGTCGCAGAGAGAGAGAGCTTGGAAAAGTTTAAAGACGGCAGTGGGCAAATGGAAAGTTCAACACGTGAGACCCCGAATGACACCTCAACGGCTGGCCCCTACTTGTGCCAAAAAGTCTCTCGGCGGGTGCCAGGCAGGGCTCAGGAAGTGCTCGGCTGCCCCTTGAACGTCAGTCCCGGCAGAGCCCAGCTGTCCGCTTGAACGTCAGTCCCGGCCAAGGGCTGAGGGGTCAGTGGCGAGCACCCCGCCGCGGCTGAGACGCCGCGCTGGGGTTCCGGACCCCGGGCGCCGCCAGGGATTGCTTCGGGGTCGGTGATCTCCCGGGGCCGCCCGCCACCGTGCACCGCGGCGCCCCGGGTCCCCAGCGCGCCTGGGAGGGGCCCCGGGGAGCGGCTCCGCCCCGGCTGGAAACCTGGTCAACGCGGCTAGGGCCCGGGGCCCGCCTGCGCTCCGGGCGCTGGGAAGGGGCCGGGCGCCCGGGGCCGGGGAGGGCCAGGATCGGCTTCCGACGCCCGCCTCCCGGCCCGCAGGGAATGGGAAGGCGCGGGCGGAGTGCGTGCGTAGGCTATAGCCCTCCGGGAAGCCGCGCCGGGAGCGGCTACCACCCGGGCAAGAACAGCGCAGAGCGCTGCGGCGGCGGGAAGGAGAGCGGGGGAAGGCTCCGCAGATTGCGGGGGAGTCCCACCTGGAGCCGGGGCAGCCGTGAACTACCGAGGAGGAGGCGGAGGAGACGGCGGCTGTTCCAGAGGAGGGAGTCGTCATAACCGGCTACTGCCGCTCACCGGAAACCTCGGGCGCGGGAGCTGGGCCAGGGGGCGCCAAGGAGCAGCTGGGACACCTTGGCCAGCCGGCGCCGTGGGCGGGCTCGGGCCCCGCAGAGGCAGGACCGGGACTACACCCAGGAGGGCCAGGGCGCGGGGCCCGACGCTCGGAGCGGCTTCAGCCCGGCGAGCGGCCTCGACCCGGCGAGCGCAGCAGGGAGGGGCTCAGAGTCGAGGAACCATCTGCCCTTCCTGGCGTTCTCCCGCGAACGTTCGCGCGAGTCCGCCAGCTCCCTCACCAGGGCCGGAAAGACCGACGGCACGTGCCGGCGCCGGACGCCCATCTCCATCGCAGCAGCCCGCGCCTCCTTGAGCGAGAGCGTTAAAGCGCTCAGAGGATGTTAGGACGGGGTGGGTAGAAAACCTGACTCTTCGTGTCTTCTGCGTTGCACTGAGGTGGATTTTTACTTTTGTCTTATTTCAAGCAGAAGTTGCCGCCCTAACTTCCAAATTTGGGGACTGAACATCGTTCACCGAATACACTTTGTGATGGTGAGGATACTTTGGAGTCCACACACATTTTAAAAGCAGTATAGTTTTACCTATCCGTAAACTCATCAAGTTCAAATGCTACTCTGTGGAGTTTAATTTTTATGGTTTTGTTAATTTACTTTATTACTGCTTATAATTATTTGAACTCCCATCCCCCACTGTCTTTTCCTCTAAGCTCCCCCAGGCCTAGTATTCCATCTACAGCACAGTAGAGTTGATCATTAAATAGTGACTAAAGTTGAACTGATTATATGAAGGTGATGACTTCAAAATAAACATGCTCAAATGAATATAGTCACCAGAAGTTAAATAATATGATCATAAGGAAACAAGTTTGTTTCCAAAGGCTTACATGCTTTTTACGTAATTTTTAAAAGTAATGTTGTTTAAGAATTGTTACAAGTTCCATTAGTGACCTGCTAAATTAGGAATCTTACCTGGAATTTTTTTCAAATAATAACAGCAAGAACATGTGGTGTTTAACATGTGCCAAACATTGTTTTAAAGCACTTTACAGTATTAATTTATTCTTTTTATTGAAAAGATTTTGCCTCTAAGGGAACTGTCAAGAGGCATGTGAACCGGAGCAACTCCATCTTAAATAGGAGCTGAGTAAAATGAGGCTGAAACCTACTGGGCTGCATTCCCAGGCCGTTAAAGCATTCTAAGTCGCAGAATGAGATAGGAAGTCGGCACAAGATACAGGTCATAAAGACCTTGTTGATAAAACAGGTTGCAGTAAATAAGCCGGCTAAATCCCACCAAAACCAAGATGGCCATGAAAGAGACCTCTGGTAGTCCTTACTACTATACTCCTATCAGCGCCATGACAGTTTACGAATGCCATGGCAATGTCAGGAAGTTACCCTATATGGTCTTAAAAGGGGAGGCATGAATAATCCACCTGTTTAGCATATCATCAAGAAATAACCATAAAAATGGGCAACCAGCAGCACTCAGGGCTGCTTTGTCTATGGAGTAGCCATTCTTTTCTTCCTTTACTTTCTTTTTTTTTTTCCTTTACTTTCTTAACAAACTTGCTTACACTTTGCCCTGAATTCTTTCTTGCTCGAGATCCAAGAACCCTCTCTTGGGGTCTGGATTGGGACCCCTTTCCTATAACAGAATTACTGCTCTATTATTTTATACTTTGCATACTTCACCATCCCACACTAATGACAGTAATTTTTTAAAATGCTTCCTCAAGCCAGGCACTGTGGCTCATGCCAGTAGTCCCAGCTACTCAGGATGATCGCTTGAGCCCAGTGAGGTTGAGGCTGCAGTGAGCCATGATTGAGACACTGCACTCTAGCCTGGGCCACAGTGAGACCCTGTCTCATAAAAAAAAAAAAAAAAAGCTTCCTCAGCCTACTTGCTACCATCCTATTTTTGTCACATACAAAAAGGTTAAAATCAGTATGACATGTGCATGGTACTATTTTATTTTATTTTTTTTGTAGAAACAGGTTCTTGCTATGTTCCCAGCACTTGTTTCCAACTCCGGGCCTCAAGTGATCTTCCAGCCTCGGCCTCCTAAAGTGCTGGGTTTACAGTTGTGAGCCACCACGCCTGGCTATGTGGTGCTATTTTAAACACCTACATATTGAATGGTCATTCAGACTTACAGGAAACCAGATATGATAAACCTGAACATGAGATTGAGTCTCTCTTACTGTAACAGCCATTCTCAAATAGAATTTCTCTCCAAAATACCAATGTTAGAATTTAAATTTTCTTTGAGCTGACATAAAACTCAAGTGTCTACCAATAGAAGGCTGGTTGAATAAACTATGGTTTATCCATACAATGTAAAACTATGCATGCATAAAAAGGAATTGAGAAATATCTCTGTACACTACAGAATATTGAGTGGGAAAAGGATATGTAATATGTAAATATCATTTTTCTAAGAGGAATATGTGTGTATACATGTGTATACACATATATATTTACTAATTATTATTTTACAAGTAGATTAACATTTAAAATGACTATATGGGCAAGGAGGGAAGAGGAGGGGTATAAGGAACAAAGAAGACATGACTTTGTTTTTTGGTGTGTGTGTGTGTGTGTGTGTGTATGTGTGTGTGTGTGTGTGTGACAGAGTCTTACTCTTTTGCCCAGGCTGGAGTACAATGGTGCAATCTTGGCTCACTGCAACCTCCATCTCCTGGGTTCAAGCAATTCTTCTCCCTCAGACTCCTGAGTAACTGCGATTACAGGCATGCGCCACCATGCCTGACAAATATTTATATTTTTAGTAGAGACGGGGTTTCACTGTATTGGCCAGGCTGGTCTCGAACTCCTGACCTCAAGTGATCCGCCCACCTCAGCCTCCCAAACTGCTTGGATTACAGGCGTGAGCCACCACGCCTGGCGTGAAGACATGACTTTGAAGTCATGTAAATATGTTACATTATAAAGCAAAATTCTGTTTTTAAAAAGCAATCCTTGAAAGTAAAATGAAACTAAATGAACCTAAATGTTTTCCAATTGTGGCATATCACCCAGAGGAGCTATCCCAAGTGACTTTAAAACTTAATTTGTATATACTTAGTGGGATGTATTCTCAGGACTAAAGTACAAAAAAACTCTTTTGTAGACTGCATTCCGTAACCAAATTGTTGGTGGCAATATTGGTATTATGGGATACACCAAGTTGAAGTAATTATGATGGTACCTTTGAAGCTGAAATTTTTGACATGAGATAGAAATATGAAAGCTTAATCAGGCTATATAAACATCCTGTAGTTCTGAATTTCAGTTGGAGGCCTCAGTATGATTAACAGTATGGTTAATCTTTAAAAACACATCTCTCCTACGTGCTCCATTGAAAAGGCCTAGAGACAAGCTACCCAGGAGGAAGAAGCACCCCCTTGCGCTCACACTGTGATCTCTACCAACCATTTCCCATTAAAAGAAACACTGACTCCATAGAACAATGGATGATCTTGGGTCTGGAGCAGGAAATGTACAAGATAAGCCTGCAACATCTTACATCAGGAAGCAGCAAAGCAATCAAAAGGCTATTAGGGTCATATCAAAAGGACTCAGGATCCACCTTGAAAACCTTCCTACTGGCCAAAGATAGGATGATTTAAAACATAAATAAAGGTAACTGTAATTGGATGAAGGACAGATACATTTAAGTAATCATATCAGACACGACCAATCAACCAAACATGCAAGCCAAAAAGGTATCGCTGTTCATTTTTAATGACAGAAGGAAACCAACTCTTATTCTGAAAACTGGTAAACAAAGGGAAAGAATCAGGAATATTTATACTGTCTTTCCTGTATGAATTATGATGCAAATAACAAAATAACTGAAGTAAATTTTTTATGGAAACATTCCAACTACTAAATGAAAAAGAAATGACAATATCACTCCACAAGCTCTGTGAACTAATAGATTTAAGAAGTGATCATCAATTATTTCTTTATCACAACTGAGAAACCATCAGGAATTATCTGTCTCCTGCTGGAAGAATACACTTCCACCTAATGAAGTATTTTTGTTGAAAAATAATTGCCTTTAGATTTAAACACAGGAGGCGGAACACACTAACAAAAGGTAAGAAATCAACATCCAGATGGAGGGAAACTATAGGACAAATGACCTAGTTTTTTCTACAAATAAGAAACTTCATCGAAATTGCAAGAATTAAGAAAAAGAGAGACAGAGATGGAAGAATGCATGGCTTAAAAAATTTGAGACAAATCCAACAAATTACAATGAGTAAATTGCTAACAATATCAGCAGAATGTAGTATACTGGTTCTCTCATCCAACTGTTAGACCATAATTAAAAGGTGTTGACATTTTTAATGAATAAATTTTGGCTGTAACTGATCTATATGCTTATGATTTTACAGAAAAGCAGTAGGAAAAGTAGCACCATATAATTAATTATTGAAATCATAGACTCTGGAGCCAAACTGCACAAATTAGAATCCCAGCTTTGCCACTTACTTGCCATATGACCTTGAGCAATTTACTTAATCTTTATTTTTAAAAATGGGGGTGATAATGGCATCCATTTTAAAAGGTTGACTTGATGATAAAGTGTGGGTACACACTTCCTTTTCCAAAATCCTTGGGTCCCTGTGTGTGTCTGAACTTTAAAAAATAGAATAGATATGCCCATCGTTTAACTTAATACCCCCCCCCCCCCACTGAGTCCTGGGTGAGTACCCCATAATCTCACACAGTATTTCTGCAGCAAAATGTATGAGTATTCACACCAAATGAGTTAAAGACTATACATAGCCCTATGTCAGTGCAGTGCAGGCTTTACCACCGAAGTAGATTTAACAGCAAATGTATTAAAATATGTATGGTTTTTAGAGCTTTGTGGATTTCAGAACAATGATTATGGGATTATAATCCTACATAAGTGAATTCCTTACACAGTGTTTGGAACAAAATAAGACTATGTTTCCCAAAAAAAGAAAAAAGAAGAAAAGACTATATTTCCTATTACCAACCTGACCACAGATTTTTGAACAACGTATATTTTTAAAAATTAAGATTGTAATTTTAAAACAGACAAATCAGCATGGCATTTTATAAAAATGGAAGGAATACCTCTATCTACCATGCTGTGCCTATACCTGTAAAAGCAAGAAGAATGTTTAATATTAAACAAACAGAAAAACCTGCCATTACGTTCTTGTTTAATGTTATTTGCGATTCTAAATATTAAATTTAGGCTACTTGGGAGTAGGGCAGTGTGGGGAATTCCAGACAGTTCTAAGAGTAAATTCTCTTTACCGTATTTGTGAATTATTGAAGCATTTTGAGTTTTTTTGTTTTGTTTTGAGAAAAGGTATTTAAGTACTAAGGAGAAATACATTTCATTTCCAGTCTGTCTTACAAAAAGATCTTAATTTGCTAAAAGGTAAAATGCGTATGTATAAAGGCAACAGATTAAAAGTACTTTAAAGGTTACAGAGCTTAATCCAAGCAATATGAACTCAGAAATAGAGGATAACTTATTTTAACTGTTGTTATTACTTGAATACAGAAACATAAGACTTTTAGAAGAATGTCTTGATATTGCTTAAGATTAAAAACTGACACAAACTATCCTTACAGTAGTTACCAGCTAGTTATAAGTAAATTCTTAGCACTGTGTTTTCCGAAAACATATCTTCATTAGAAGATAATGAACTTAGGGCCGGGCGCAGTGGCTTATGCCTATAATCCCAGCACTTTGGGAGGCCAAGGTGGGCAGGTCACTTGAGTTCGAAACCAGCCTGGCCAACATGGTGAAACCCATCTCTACTAAAAATACAAAAATTAGCCGGATGTGCTGGTGCGCACCTGTAATCCCAGCTACTTGGGAGGCTAAGGCAGGAGGATCACTTGAACCTGGGAGGCAGAGGCTGCAGTAAGCTGAGATCACACCACTGCACTCCAGCCCAGGCAACAGAGTGAGACTCTGTCAAAAAAAAAAAAAAAAACTACACTTAATACTAATAATGTAACTTATAGAAAATTAGGGCTTCATTTTCTTAAAATATTAATCTCAAATGTAAACAAGTTATATTTTCATAAAACAATATTCATTCTTCACTCATTACTATTGACCACTATAAATTTTGTTAAAAATGAAATACACTATTACTATTTTAAAATCTTTATTCAATCAGATCCATGCTTATTTACATTACCTTTCATTTAGAATTAAAATATATCAATCTGTAGTTTAAATCATACTTTCAGCCCTTTACAAAATATGTGATTAAAGTTTTCATGGTTTAAAATGGACCTAGAATATGGAAAATTGGATTCACTTTAATGAAAATGAAAAATTTTGATACACTAGAACATAAATGTATACGTACTAAACATACAGTATTAAAACAAGATAAAACATCTACAGTTTTCTTTTTTCTTCTATTTTCTAAATATTATAAATCATATACTTTTAATAAGCATTCAAATAAAACTCTCAATAAATGCCAACTGAAGAGATGGAGAAAAAAAATTTCCTGAACATTCTTTTCACTTACTTCACTACAAACTTCATGTTTCCTAGGTCAGAAGTTATCCACATTTAGAATATCTTAAGTCACAACATAGATATATTTGGTACATTCCACATGCTAAACACTGTACAACTGGCAATTCTCAAAAAATAGGTAAAAGAAATGTAAGAAATGGTAGACTCAGTTTAGCCTCCCAAGAATTGGAAGGACATCTACAGTCTGTGCTTAATTGTCTATAAATGACCAAACAACCTTCCCTTTGTTTACTCATTTTTTTATATTCTTGAAAATGTTATTTGCAGCTTTTTTCTTTCAAGAATGGAAACATCTAATTGCAAATCATTTTCCTATCCATTAAAATATAAATATTATTTTGCAAGAATATGGGTAGAGATGTTTTAATGACAAACAGCAAAGTATAGCAACGAATATTCAATAGGTATTCTGCCACCTACTGGAGTTTTTCAAGAAACTGTTTAAGTTCACTTTAACTTACAGAAGTATTGAGAGATCCAAGTGTTTAACAATCAAAATATGATCAGTTTGAGTATCAGCTATTTATTTGTAGATAAAGAGTAATATATGGTAATATGTAACTAGAAACTATGTAACTAGAAATTGTTAATACGGATAAAAAAAGAATGTTTAATTTTATAAAATTGAAAAGTTTAGGAATGAGTTTTATTGCAATCTTTTCTCTGCAAATGAAGTTTTTTTCTACTAGTGGATATTTTAAAGGGACTATTTTATAATTCCAAAACGTCTAGTTTCAAATGCTTCAGAGAATTTTGTAACTTAAGTTTCATATAGAGTAGTCTCCCCTTATCCACGATTTTGCTTTCTGTGGTTTCGGTTACTCACGGTCAACCACAGTCTGATTACAGGTGAGTACAGTACAATAAGATATTTTGAGAGAAAGAGACAGACATATCACATTTACATCACTTTTATTACAGTGCACTGTTATAATTGTTCTATTTGCAGTTATTGTTTATCTCTTGCTGTCCCTGATTTATAAATAGAACTTTATCATAGGTATATATGTATAGGAAAAAACAGTGTATAGAGGTGTCTATACTATCCATGGTTTCAGACGTTCACTGGGGGTCTTGGAACGTATGTCCCATGGGTAAGAGGGAACTACTATATTTTCTAATTCTATACATTTCTTATTGCTTATCTGTCCTGTCATTCTGCCCTTGAATATTACACACACAAAAAAATCAAGCTGACAAAAAGCTATTAGACTACTTTTTACTACTAAAATGAAGAAAATTAATTTTATGAATCTGGCTCACACTGAAAGAATATTTATTAACACTACCAATCAGAGATCCAATGACAGAAACACTGTCTGGAATACAAAAAGAACAAAAAATGAGGTCATTTGAATTGCCCTGAAAAACTCCAAATTCTTCAAGATGGTGTACTTGTATCTATATTCTGAAGTACTAGTGTTTTAATTTTAACTAAAAATTAAATAAGAGTTTGTTTTTTTTTTTTTGAGACGGAGTCTTTCTCTGTCACCCATGCTGGAGTGCAGTGGCACAATCTTGGCTCATTGTAACCTCCACCTCCCAGGTTCAAGCAATGCTCCTGCCTCAGCCTCCCGAGTAGCTAGGATTACAGGCGCACACCACCACGCCAGGCTAATTTTTGTATTTTTAGTAGAGATGGGGTTTCACCAAACTGCTGGCCATGCTGGTCTTGAACTCCTGACATCAGGTGATATGCCCGCCTTGGCCTCCCAAAGTGCTGGGATTACAGGCATGAGCCACAGCACCTGGCCGTAAATGAGAGTTTTTATGTGCAAGTAAAGGCAGTTAAATAACTTTCAGTAATAAAATGCATCACAATATTTCACAGGTTTAAAACACAACCTGGTTACCTTTTTGAATAAAATAACATTTGGAAGAAGGCATAGCTACTTTTAAAAGCTATTCTATGCTTTCCTTGTGTTTGAAATTTCAAGAAAAAATAAAATGATAAATCACAAAATTAAAAATGCCAAATTCAAGTTAATTCCTATAATTCTTCCATTTTGTTATGAATATTCTGTAATATCAAACATTCATTTTTAATGTGCTAAAAATATGGGTTTACAAAATATGAACAGGTAATTTTTAAAGAGTAAATTATGTTAAGAACTTTATTATTTTCGATTCATTTTATAGGGTAGTAAAATAATACTTCTTCAAAATCATTTAAATGTTATTGATGCCATTGCAAAATCATTATAAATAAATTTTCTCCATTATCCAATCACATCTAGATAACATTGAATATGTACAGGTTTCTCTGGATAGGTACCAAAAGGTACCACATTTTATACAGACTTAATTGTGAAAGCTGGGTGAAATAAATTTTCAGATCAAAATTTTTTTTAAGTTTAAATCATTCACTCTTTAAATTTCAGACAGTGTCAGTGTGACTCTTACTTTTAAAGGAAAAAAATTAGTTTAAAATTTAATAGCCACAGATTTAATAATTTTTTACTTTAACACTTAATGTACATTTTCATGAGCAGTAATTAAGATATGTTGAAATTTTAAATGTGAAAGATTTCAAAGTTTCAGTATGTTAACATTACTCTTCAAATGTTCTTAATATATATATAAACACTTACAAATTATAGATACAACTAGTTGTATATCTACAATACATATATGAACACCATTCTTCTTCTCTAGCCATATTTATATGAGGATAAAGTAATAAATCTCTGTGCTATTCAAGGAAAAAAAATGAATGCTTTAAAAAATAAATCTTTAAAGAATAGTTTCAAAAATAAAGTTCAAATATTGCACAAAATAATTTAACTGTAAATATTACTACATAGTGTAAAACAATTTTAAAAAAATTTTTACACTCTACAGTAAATCCCACTTTCTAATTCTATAAAAGAATTTATTGGAAGTCCACATTAAATGTTTAGATATTAAATGCTTACATTCAGTTTGATGGGAATTCAATTTTCACAAGTTAACTGAGACTTTGTCTTAAAAGTTCATCTATTTGAGTTTTGTACATATTTTTTACATCTTCGAGATCTAATCGAAGTTCTTCTGCCTCTTCTGCTTTTTCTCCATACATCTGCAGAATAGTGTTGTACCTTTGATCCAAATCCTGAAAAATGTATTTGTTTACAATTTTTAAAATAACTACACAGAACATCTTTAATATTTATATTGCCATAGGAGTCAACAATGAAAACACTACAATTTAAATAAAAGTATATACTCATCTCTTTTAAAAATTAAACTCACACTTCAGTCTATGTTGAACTAAATAGCAAAAAAAGGAATTAAAGAAAAAAACCAAGCTAGATGGCTATCAATTTTACCCTATCTCTCCACTAAATCTACAATTCTCCCCATATATGACTTCTCTCCCATTAATGTAAGCACACTTGATATAAAATTTAGTCTCTTTGTTCCATGGTGGTATAAGTATTACCCGGCATTTAGCCCACACCACAGGAAAGATCAAAAGAAAACATATTCTCACTTATGGCTTAACAGTGTCTTCTAACATCCAGATGAGACAATTGTGATGATACATATAACAACAATCAACAAAATATTACTAAGATCATACAAAGTTCAATGTTATAAATGAAGTGTAGCCAAATGAAATCTAGTTCTTTTCCTATACTGGGACTAAACATGATTGTGAAAATTACTTTGAATATGTAAAGATACAAGCAAGATAAAAGATTCATTTTTAAACTTCTTTGCTCAAATATTAGTACTCTTTAATTTTCAAATAAATCACTAACACATACTATAAATTAAAAACATGAGATTTAAAGTAAATGAACTAAAATATCTTAGACTCATCCTTAGGTGAAGAATACTTACTCTTAGCTGAGTTCTAAGTTTGGGTATCTCCTTCACCTTCTCTTCAAGTTCATCATTTTGATTTGTTAATTTAACTAGTTCTTCAGCCATTATTGATCGAGTTTTTTCTAGATTGCCAATTTCTAGCTGAGAAGCATTACCACAAAATAGTTTAAATCAAAACATATCTTTTTTAATACTCCCAGTAATATAAAAATATTTAATGTGTGTGTGGTTTTTTTTTTTTTTTTGAAATAGACATGTCAACATATAACCTTGAGCTAGCTCTTTCTTAAGTAAAGGAAACAGTGGCAGAAAAACGGTCCCAACTTTCCTGAGAGGTATACCGTTTATAAGGTTTACTGTGCAACAGAGATAAATCCAATTATTTGTTTGAAAACATTCAACCATATATTTTTCTAATCTAAGGAAATGACATATATTTCAGTTATTCTAAATTACTACAAGAACCCAGAGAAATAAAAATATACTTTAACGTAGCCCCACCTGTGTAGGTTGTATCGACAGAGGCTTTCATCACTACCAAAGAAATTAATTAGGTCCCTGTATAGCATACCAGCTATACAAACATCTGGGATTCAGATTAGTCTGATCTACTTTTTGCCAATTCAAGTTCTTTAATATTTTCATATAACTAAAAGTATATAATGGGAGTTGAATTTTTACCTACTTCTGAGTGTATTGTGTTTAACACTGAAAAGAGGTATCCTGATTCAAAATGCTTGAGACCAGGAATGTTTCAAATTTCTTTTTTTTTTTTTTTTTTTTTCAGATTATGGAATAATTGCATTATGTACTTACTGGTTGAGCATCCCAAATCTGGAAATCCAAAATGCTCAATTGAGCTTTTCCTTTGAGCAGCATGTCAGCACTCAAAGTTTTGGATTTGGGGGCATTTCAGATTTCAGAGCTGGGATGCTCAAACCTGTAAAACATTTCAATATTTCTGACTGCATAAAGTTTTTTAAAAGCCAAAAAGGTAAGATGGAAGGATGCTCCATCAACAACTCATGTTGTTTCCTCCCATGTACAGGGTGTTACAGTTCAAACATCTCATCCCCTTTACCCCTCCTTCCCGGGGTAGCTGGAACAACTTATCTAAGAGGTAAATCTGAATAGAACAGGCATTCACAGCTCAGTGACTTCCCTTTATTCTGTTGGGAAAGAGCTGCTTGAAAGGAGGAGGGATTCTCTGCTCCTAGATGCTTATGTCTTATGTAGGCAGGTTGTAAAACATGGGAGGCCTGCTCCAGCCCAGCATTTCCTGTGACAGATCAGCCGAATATGCCTAATTCTGGCAATTAGCAGGTTCAGTTGGCTGTTATCCTTAGCTAATTTCTCTTTTTAGCCTTTATCATTGATATATGTGATACATTTTGGGCTTCACATGCCACTATGTCATCTTGTTTCTCAATTTGCTCAGAATTCAGATGGAAATGAAGGGTGCTATTTATTAGGCCTCAAAACTTCATTTACTTCTATAGCAAATTTAATTTTTCCAATACCTGTAAATGAGTGATTTCCCCTTCCCTTAGCTTTAGCTGAGACTGTAGGTTTTCAATTATGCTTGATCCTGCTCCCATCCTTACAGCATCATAAAGATTGCTTCCATTTGCTGATATAGGCATTGGTCCAAATGAGTGATCATGAGACTCATCCTATGTTAATTAAGAAAGTTCACACAGTTACTCAGTTATCATAGCTTGTCTTCCATTACCAGGTTCGAACAAAAATGGTTCTGTCAATTTTTGCTTTAAATGTCTTCTCAAAGGCAGAAAATCATTCACGTGTTTCCTCTCACTAAAATTAGCACTCCTCCACAAGTATTCAGATGAATTACCCATAGAATGGCAAGGTCATGATGACAGACAATATTGCCATTTGCATATTTCCTTTATTATTATTCTAAGAACTAAGCACATATAAAAAATAAAACATCACCTGAGACAGAAAAGATGTCTGTAGTCCTGCCATATCAACACCACTTATTGAACTTGAGCGTGACATGGTGGGAGTGCTAGAAACAGAAAATGGCTTGCGTTCCTTAGGGAGTAAAAAAAATTCTGTTCATATTAAAGAGCAAAGAGATAAGCAGAGAAAGCAAGAACATTTCCTAGGGTTAATGAGAACAAAGATTCAGTCTTTTAAAAAAGCCACACTACAAAGGAATTCAATACAATCAAAAGAAGAAAAAAAACTTTTTTAAGATTCATTCTAATTTCCCCATAAAATGGCTTCTTAAGTCAAAAATACAATATTTGGCCAGGCATGGTGGCTTATGCCTGTAATCCCAGCACTTTGGGAGGCCAAGGAGGGTGGATCACCTGAGGTTGGGAGATCAAGACCAACTTGACTAACATGGAAAAACCTCGTCTCTACTAAAAATACAAAATTAGCTGGGCGTGGTGGCGCATGCCTGTAATCCCAGCTACTCGGGAGGCTGAGGCAGAATCGCTTGAACCTGGGAGGTGAGGTTGCGGTGAGCCGAGATAGCGGTGGAGGTGGCGGTGAGCTGAGATAGCACCACTACACTCCAGCCTGGGCAATAAGAGTAAAACTCAGTCTCCAAAACAAACAAACAAAAAAAAAGTACAATATTTACTAATTAAAACTGTAGCTAGACTTGGTTAGATCATCACAGAACCCATTTATTACAACAATGTAATTTGTTGGGTTTTTATAATAGAATAAGAATGTTTCTGTTAAGCTTCATATTATACAATATACTATCAATTAAACCTATTTCTGTAACATAAAATTACTAATGAGTGTTACAAATCATAAAATTTCTGGCTTATCCATTTTATTTTTAATGTATTCTTAAAATTCCAAATAAATTCAATAGGTAATTTAAATTTACCTATCGGTAGTTTAAATATATTATGCTAACTCCAAGTACACGGTAATTCTTTCAATACAGAAAACTCATTTTTATTTATTTATTTATTTTTATTTTTTTGAGAAAGAGTCTCGATCTGTTGCCCAGGCTGGAATGCAGTGATGCGATCTCGGCTCACTGCAGCCTCCGCCTCCCGGGTTCAAGCAATTCTCCCACCTCTGCCTCCCGAGTAGCTGGGATTACAGGCACATGCCACCATGCCCGGCTAATTTTTGTATTTTTAGTAGAGATGGGGTTTTGCCATGTTGGCCAGGCTGGTCTTGAACTCTTAGCCTCAAGTGATCCACCTACCTCAGCCTCTCAAAGTGCTGGGATTACAGATGTGAGTCCCCATGCTCAGCCTCAGAAAACTCATTTCAGAAAAATTACCCTCATTAACCAGAAAGAAAACAAGCCAGACTTACTCCTTAAGTGCCTATAGACCAAATGATGTGCACTGGTTTCAGTGACAGACAATTAAATTCATTTTTAAAAAGGGCAAGAGGTTTTATATTTCAAGTCCTAGAAATCATAGATCTCTTTGGATAAACTCAAAATTACTTTGGGTCCACTCTGAGCAGGACACTGATTATAATACTAGAATTCATCACTATGTTGATTTTAGACATTAAAAAAATGATACTTATAAAGCAGGGATGTCCAATCTTTTGGTTCCCTGGGCCTCATTTGAAGAACAAGAATTGTCTTGGGCCACACATAAAATATACTAACAATAGCTGATGAACTAAAAAAAAAAAAAAAAATCATGAAAAAAATCTCATGATGATTTAAGAAAGTTTGCAAATTTGTGTTGGGCTTCATTCAAAATCATCCTGGGCCACATGCCAACCAGGGCCACAGGTTGGACAAGCTTGTTATAAAGCATAGCTAAAATTAAAAAGCAATGATTAATCACAGCATCTACTAAATGGTTACACCACAAACAAACAAAAACAAAATTCAATACCTTTTCTTTTATTGTTTCTTGAGTAAAAATGGCTTTCTTCCTTTCTTGTTCAACTTTCATTCTTTCCATTTCTAACTGACTATTCAACAATGTCTAATAGAGAGAAATAAAGTTAGACAATTTCTGTGATAGTAATTCATGCCATGATAAGTCAATCTCAAAGTTAGAAGCATAAAGTATAAACTCATATTTGTTTTCCTACTAAAGACCAAGTTCCAAAAGCAGTGGCATCACCCATTTCATCTTGTTATCTCATTAATTTGCTGCCATCCCCAACCATTCTCTAATGTATGCCCTAAGAGCTGAGTGGTCACGAAGAGAAATACCTTTTCTTTCCTCGTCTCTTCAAGTGTTCTTACATATTCATCTTTTAGGTTTTCCAATTCAACCTGGTACCTATTAAACAAGGCAGAATTTAAAAAAACAGAAAATGAAAAAGATGCTAGTATAGACTATTAAAAACTCAGTACTTTATTAACTCCAGCTACATATTGAGAAATCATTTTTATTACCAGCTTGACATCAGTGATTTTCCAACAGTGTGTTCCAGATCCCATCTGAGTTTCACTCAGAAACCAAACCAAAAGTGAAAAAGCTCCACTTCTGTGCATTTTATTTATTGGTGCTCTGGGTTAAGATTTCATTTAAAAAGAGACTTTATAAAAATAATTTTGAGTACCATCATCCTATAATATGCTCAGATTCCACAAAGCTTATTAGGGAGTTCTATGAAAATGTTTCTAAAAGTTCAGATATTTTACTTTAGAAATCATTTTTACTTGACATTTTTTTAAAAAGTAAAATTTCCAAGGAAGAACAGAGGGTTAAAAAATACTAACCATTGCCTTAATATAATCTCAGATAGATGGATTTTACACCCCATGGTTTCCAAGAACCCAGAAATTTATTTAGAAAAGACTTAAATTATACTACTAAAATCCTTGTAATATAAAAGTAACTCCAAAGAGTAGTCTCAAAACTATTTTGTGGTGTTATAGGCCCCTTTAAAAAATCTGATTAAAGGTACAAATCCTTTCCCTGGAAAAAAAAATAAATACAAAACATGCCACACAATCTCAACAATCTACATGACAATGAATCCCAGTACTATCTTCTTGTTATAATATCCTATTACTTTATTTATTTTTTTTTTTTTGGAGACGGAGTCTCGCTCTGCTGCCCGGGCTGGGGTGCAATGGTGCAATCTCACTGCAACCTCTGCCTCCCAGGTTCAAGCAATTCTCCTGCCTCAGCCTCCCGAGTAGCTGGAATTACAGGCGTCTGCCACCATGCCTGGCTAATTTTTGTATTTTTAGTAGACACAGGGTTTCACCATGTTGGCCAGGCTGGTCTTGAACTCCTAACCTCAGGTGATCCACCTGCCTCAGCCTCCCAAAGTGCTGGATAACAGGCATGAGCCACAGCACCCGGCCATAATATCCTATTACTAATAACCCTAACTTTAAATGCTAAAAGTGATTACATTTAGTTCTTGGTACCCTGAAGCTAAAAGCCAACGACATACTTTGTTTATTTACTTATTTAATTTATTTTTTTTTTTTTGAGACCGAGTCTCACTCTGTCACCCAGGCTGGAGTGCAGTGGTGGGATCTTGGCTCACTGCAACTTCCGCCTCCCGGGTGTAAGCGATTCTCATGCCTCAGCCTCCGAGCTGCTGGGATTACAGGCGCACACCATCACACCTGGCTAATTTTATTTTTAGGAGAGAGTAGGTTTCGCCATGTTGGCCAGGCTGGTCTCCACCTCCTGACCTCAAGTGATCCGCCCGCCTTGGCCTCCCAATGTGCTGGGATTACAGGCGTGAGCCACGGCGCCCGGCCCAACAACATACTTTTAAAAAGTGCTTTAGGATGTCACGGAACTACCAAAAATATCACTCAGAAACCATGCTCACCTATTGTTCTCATCCTCCAGTTTACACAGCCTATTTTTCTCTGATTCTAGCTGGGCTTGAAATCTACTGTTTTCCTGTCTTAAAAGAGAATTCTGTGACTCCATGGAAGACATCTGAATTTTGTTAGCAAGGAGTTCTTCTGTAGCTGCACGTTCTCTCTCAACTGCTGCTGCCAGCAAGGTCTGGGATTCACCTGATTACAGGACAGAAAAAAAAATCACATACACATACAGCCCAGAGACCAAAATACCAAGTCAATTCTGATTTCAAACATTTAATGATGCAAGTAGCCACACTTAAAACTGATAACTATTTATTGCCTAAGGCAGGACTGTCTACTGAGACAAATGAACCAATCTTAACTTATACCTGCTTTATCACTCTTTTCCAAAAGTATTTTAATTTCAAAATGGAGTCATGCATTAAAAGAGTAGTGGATCACCAACACCAAATGGTCCTGGAGCAACTGGACAGCTATATGCAAAAAAACCAAAAAGCCTACACATCACATCATTCACGAAAATTAACTCAAAATGGATCATAGACTTATATGTAAAACATGAAACTATAAAACTTTTAGGAAAAAACAGAGGAGAAAGTCTTCAGGATCTAGAACAAGGCAGATTTGACACAAAAAGCAAGAGCCATAGAAAGAAAAACTGACAAACTGCTTCAAAATTTTCAACTTTTAAATCTATGTGAAGAGGATGAAAAGGCAAACTACAGAGTGAGAGCAAATAAATGCAAACCATATATCTAGGATTAGTATCAGGAATATATAACAATCTAGTTAGAAAATGGGTAAACGACATAGACAGAAATTTCACCATAGAGAATGTACAAATGGAAAATAAGGACATAAAATGATGTTCAATAACATTAGCCATTAGGGAAAAAATACAAATTAAAATCATAATGAGATATCACTACATGCTGTCTGAGTAACTAAAAGAAAAAACAGGGACGACATAAAATGTTGGCAAGGGTGTGAAGAAACCACATTACTCTTACACAGCCACTTTGTAAACAGTTTGGCATTTTCTTAAAAACACTAAACATGACCTGGCAATTGCACACTTGGGCATTTATCTAGAGAAATGAAAACTTAGGTTCACACTAAAACCTGTACATGAATATTCACAGTAGCTTTATCTGTAATAGCCAGAGCTTGGAATCAGCCTGGACGTCCCTTGTGCAGTGAATGGTTAAATATACGTGGTACATACTATGGAATAACACTCAGCAATAAAAAGACTAAACTACCGATACAAAAACAACTGTGTGAACCTCTTCCTGGGAATTACACTGAGTGAAAAAAGCCAAACCCAAAATGTCATACACTGTATAATTTTATTTATGTAACATTTTTGAAATGACAGAATTTTAGAAACAGAGGACAGATTAGTGATTGCCAGAGATTTGGGACAAGGGAGGAAGGGTTGAGAGAGTGGTAGGTGTGTTTCCAAAAGGGTAACATTAAGAGTGATTATTTTCAGCTAAGAAAAAAAGAAAAAAAGCTAACAGGAAGGACTCAATAGTGTTGGAACTGTTCAATATCTTGACTATGGTAATGGATATGTGGTATAGTTGTTTAGAACTTAATACACACACACACACACACATACACAAATGAGTACCAATAAAACTTTGGAAATCTGAATAAAATCAGTAGATTGTATCAATGTCAATACCATGGTTGTGATATTATACATTAATTTTGTAAGATTTTAATACTTGGAGATATTAGGCAATGTGTACAAAGGACCTTTCTATATTATTTCTTATAACTGCACATGAATCTACATTATATCAACAAAAATTTTCAATTGAAAAAAAGAGCAATGGGTAAGATTCTGAGATTTAACCTAGGTAAGAATTCTTGTATTTTTTCTCCACCAAAGTAGAGCTAGTAATACCTCTATTTCACATTTTACACTCTGCTCCACAGCATAGCTATGGTCTTTTTAATAGCATTCCTTGGTATGTTTGTCCTGTGGCTTTGCCTATATGCTAGCACAATACCACATATTGCTGAGGGTATGTAGACTTCAGTCTAAAAACCACAAAAGTACCAGTTTCTAGCATTCATTTATTGCTAAATATTTATTTCAAAAGATATCATTTTCAGATGTCTCATATTTCACAGCACATTGCTCTCAAAAGCTGTCAGAGATAAACGACAGACCTAACATTTATACCTATAAATTTAAATATATATGAAGGTTTATCTAATTCAGTTCATTTTTTTAAGTAAATGAATCTTTTTCTAGACCAAATCTTTCATGGAACTCCAATTAAAAAAAGATAGACAAAGGAGGCCCTATTTTCATTAAAGCAGCTAGAGAAGCCCAGCCTCTTATTTATCAAGCTTCCCTCTCACCATGACAGCAGCCCCAAAGGTATCTAAGAGTCCACTGAATACTATTTGAAAGTCACTAATCTAGTTCACCCCCCCGATTCACAAGGAATAGCACAGAGATAGTTGGAACAATATAAGTGACTTGTTCCACACTGTTTTGCTGGATGATTCAAAACAGAATACCCTGAGTCCATGTCTCCTGACTCATATTTAGGTCTGATTTTATCACTACACTGTGATTTCTCAAATTACATTTAGTGTCAGGCGTAGAAGGCATACATGAATTTTTCATGAATTTGCTAGCTTCTGGGATACCTATAATATACATACACTAGCTGTCTGTGCTTGAAGGGAAACATTTTAGAATAATACTTTTCTTTTTATTAACATCACAGAAGGGCAACCTGGGGCATGACTGTAAAGAAGCAGAATATGGAATCTTTTTTTTTTTTTTTGAGATGCAGTCTCGCTCTGTCACCCAGGCTGGAGTGCTGTAGCGCAATCTCAGCTCACTGCAGCCTCTGCTTCCCAGGTTCAAGGGATTCTTTGCCTCAGCCTCCCAAATAGCTGGGATTACAGGCATGCGCCATGACACCCAGCTGATTTTTGTATTTTTGGTAGAGACGGGGGTCTCATCATGTTGGCCAGGCTGGTCTTGAACTCCTGGCGTCAAGTGATCCACCCGCCTAGGCCTCCCAAAGTGCTAGGATTACAGGTGTGAGCCACCGCGCCCTGCCAGAATATGGAATCTTAAGACTCCCTAGTATGTCTCTTCTAAGGTCGATCTTGACTCTCCTTAGACCTATTTTCGCTCTTGGAATTCTACCAGTGATGAGAATCATATATGATCTCTACCTCCTACACTACTGCAGACAAGCTACAAAGGGGTCAGATTTAGCAATGGACAAGAAAAAAAAATCGAGTGCAGCAGTCTACTAAAAATACAAAAAATTAGCCAGGCATGGTGGCAGACGCCTGTAATCCCAGCTACTCAGGAGGCTGAGGCAGGAGAATTGTGTGAACCTGGGAGGCGGAGCTTGCAGTGAGCCGAGATCGCGCCACTGCACTCCAGCCTCAGTGAAAGAGTGAGACTCCATCTCAAAAAAAAAAAAAAAAAAAGAACTGAATGAAAGAATGACATGGAAGTACTTTAGCCAGTATCTGATACCATTGTGTAATGGGAAAAAATGGTTTGAAAGAGACATAATAAAGGTATTAAAAATACATGTAGAAAAAGAGAAAATGTAAAAATCTACATATTAGACACAAAATGTAACTATCAGATCAAATGAATTTCAATTTCATACCATTATTCTAATTCTATAAACAAGATGGAAGAGCTTCTGCATCGAGCATAAAAACTAAAGCAGTTACCAAGCCTATCAGAAAGATTCTTCTCTAATTTCTCCCACGACGATGTCTGGGATCCCAGGGTTGCTTGCAAATTTTCTATTTGTCGAAGCAATGGTCTTGTTGTTGATGAAACACTTTGACTCAGTTCCTGGTTTCGATTCTCTGCTTCCTGGAGTCTCTGAATCATGAAATTCTGAAGTCATTACCAATGACAGCAATAAAAACATTAAAAACACTAGCAAACCTGAACTTTGAGAGGTTCCTGGAAAATTATTTTTCCAAGAGAAAATAATTTGCTTTTTAATTATTATTATTAATTTTAGAAACGGGGTCCCGCTCTGTCACCCAGGCTGGAGTGCAGTGGCACAATCGTGGCTCACTGTAGCCTCAACCTCCTAGGCTCAAGCGATCCTCCCAGCTGGGACTACAGGTACACGCCACCACACCTGGCTAATTTTTGTATTTTTTTGTAGAGACGAGGTTTCATCATGTTGCTCAGGCTGGCCTCGAACTCCTGAGCAGGCAATCTGACTGCCTCAGCCTCCCAAAGCATTGGGATTATAGGCATGAACCACCATGCCCAGCCCTTAATTATTTTTCTAACTGTTCAATCCTTCCAAGAGAGTTAGATTGTGTAATACAGTATCTAAATAAGTACTTCTTTGGCCAGGCACGGTGGCTCATGTGTGTAATCCCAGCACTTTGGGAGGCTGAGGTGGGTGGATCACCTGAAGTCAGGAGTTCAAGACCAGCCTGGCCAACATGGTGAAACCTCATCTCTACTAAAAATACAAAAATTAGCTGGGCATGGTGGTGCACGCCTGTAATCCCAGCTACTTGGGAGGCTGAGGCAGGAGAATCGCTTGAACCCAGGAGGCAGAGGGTGCAGTGAGCCAAGATTGTGCCACTGCACTCCTGCCTGGGCAACAGAGCAAGACTCTGTCTCAAAATAAAGAAATTAAATAAATAAATAAATAAGTGCTTCTTTAAAAAGCGTTTCTAAGATAGTCTTCAATTACCTGAAGGTTAAAAAAGAGTTCATCCAAACCTCTTAGTAGTTACCTCCTCATCCAAATATTTCTAAGTATTTATAAAAACTGAAAAATCAACCTAAATTGTATTTTCTCTCCCTTTTCCTCTGCATGTTATAAATGACTGAAAATTAACAGAGGCATAGAAACCGGGAACTATTACCTGTCCCACAGTAATCAAAGACTGACAATCATTAATAAGCGATTACAAATGGAAAAGCAATACTGAATACATATAACAAATCTATCATAACATTATTTTCTATAAAACAAAATAAGGAATTTCCTTGTATAATTTTTAAGGTGCCCACTCTGATTTATTCACACAAGCCACAAAAATTCAGCAAATGCTAGGTGTGACAGTAATCCTCTCAATTCCATGAACACTATCCCACTGAGGAATTCTTTTATTTCTAGAAAAACACATACTTCTTGGATTTGTGTTTTGGAAACCTGTGACAGTACCTGCTGAAGTTCACCGATCTCATGGCGTAAATAATCCTCCTTTCTGGCAGCCGCTTGTTCTGTACGCTGCAATGCAAGCCTAAGGTCCCCCACCTGTAGGAGGAGAAACAATACATTCACAAACAATGGTACAGTATTATCTATAACTTCCCACTAACTACATATTTTGTGTTGTGTCAACATTGTTCATGTATACTATTTCATACTCTCCAATGAACTTTTACATATGATTATCACATCTCTCATTCATCAAGCAATTCTAAAACTGTATGTATATTCAATGTTTACTTAGAAAAGCATTCTGTTAAGGCAAAGAAACGCAAACAAATATGTATAAGGCATAGCCATTACCATACAATATTGGAGAAAAGACAGTGCGTCTATAAATATTTGCCACATCACACAGAAAGTGATAGGTGCTATACGGATTATAAAAGCTGGGGGCTCCACTCATATGCAGGAGCATACATTATAAACTACCATAGCCTTTTTGGAAAACGTTATAATATGTTTAAAGAATCATCAAACTTCTCACATCCTTTCACCGGGCCATCCTAGTCTTGGGAATTCACTCTAAGAAAGCAGATACGTAAATACACAGGGATATTCCCTACAGTATTAAATAGGCTAGCAAAAACAAAACTGGAAATATTCTAAATCTCCATCACTAGTAATCTATAGTTGCAAATGTCGATACAACATGAATATAACCATTAAAAATTACAATAAATGTATAAAACATGTAAAAAAAATTTCTAATATACTATTAAATGGAAAAACTATAAAATAACACGTAAGACATCAATTATGAAAAACACATATATGGGAATAGAATGAAACACTAACACACAAAACTGACAGTACTTGGAAAAAGTGATGGATTTATGCATGGTAACTCATATATGCTCTATCTCCCATTCCCCCAATTTTTCTGTATTATTATTATTCTAACGTATTTTAAATTTAAATTACTGATATTTTATCTATCCCAGCAGAAACACAAAGGATATATGGACCATGGCATGACTTATAATAGCAAAATACTGAAAATAACCCAAATATCCATCAATAAGAAATAGCTGAAAATACTTCACCTAATAAAGTATTATAAAACTGTAAAGAGATATTTTTTAAAAACCTCTATGTTTTACTAGAGTGATCATCAGGATATTTTACTAAGTAAATAAAACAAGTTATAAAACAGTATAAACAATAAACTATCATTTACGTAAAAAGGATGTAGGAGATAGAAATAGGTGTATAATCTATCAATAAGAAAGAGCTGAAAATCCTTCACCTAATGAAGTATTATAAAACTGTAAAAAGATATTTTTTAAAAACCTCTATGTTTTACTAGAGTGATCATCAGGATATTTTACTAAGAAAATAAAACAAGTTATAAAACAGTGTGAATAATAAACTGTCATTTATGTAAAAAGGATGTAGGAGACAGAAATAGGTGTATAAGCGAATGTGTATGTACGCAGAACATGTAAGTATATAGATACATATATTTTCTTGCATTTTGCCAATAGAAACACTGAAAAGATAAGCCAAACTCTAATAAAATGGTTACCTACAGGCAAAGAGAGGAAATGGGGAGCAGCTAAATTGGAAGTAAATGTCTGAATAGATTTTGCTCTCACTTTGGAATCATGTAAATGTTTTACACATACAAAACTTAAAATTAAATCAAAAGGGCATAGGAGTCAATAAAAATAGTTTTCTCAACAACTGGTCCTGCAACAACTGGATATCCACATGCAAAAGACCTAAATGTGAGAGCTAAGACTACAAAACTCTTAGAAGAAAACTGATGAAGATCTGCATAAACTTGGATTAAGCAATGGTTTCTTAAATATGATGCCAAAAGCACAAATAACAAAAGAAAACATAGATAAGCTAGACTTTGTTAAAATTAAAACCTTTTGGCATCAAAGGACACTATCAAGAAAAAGAAAGACAACCCACAGAGAGGCACAAAATATTGACAAATCCTATATCTGATAAAGGTCTAGTATGCAGATTATACAAAGAACTCATAATAACAATAAAAAGACAAACCGCCCAATTTAAAAATGTGCAAAGGATTTGAATATTTTAATTAATTTCTCCCAAGAAGATACATAAATGGCCAATAAGCAAATGAAAAGACATCCAACATCATTAGTCATTAAGAGAATGCAAATCAGCCGGGCGTAGTGGCTCACGCCTGTAATCCCCGCACTTTGGGAGGCCAAGGCAGGCGGATCACGAGGTCAGGAGATTGAGACCATCCTGGCTAACACGCTGAAACCCCATGTCTACTAAAAATACAAAAAAAAATTAGCAGGGTGGCCGGGCATGGTGGCTCATGCCTGTAATCCAAGCACTTTGGGAGGCGGAGGCGGGTGGATCACCAGAGGTCAGGAGTTCAACACCAGCCTGGCCAACATGGTGAAGCCTCGTCTCTACTAAAAAAAAACAAAAATTAGCCGGGCATGGTGGTGGGCACCTGTAATCCCAGCTACTCGGGAGGCTGAAGCAGGAGAATCACTTGCACCTGGGAGGTGGAGGTTGCAATGAGCCGAGATTGCGCTATTGCACTCCAGCCTGGGCAACAAGAGCGAAACTCTGTCTCACAAAAAAAGAAAATTAGCCAGGCATGGTAGCACCTGCCTGTAGTCCCAGCTACTCAGGAGGCTGAGGCAGAAGAATTGCTTGAATCCGGGAGGCAGAGGTTGCAGTGAGCTGAGATCGTGCCACTGTGCTCCAGTCTGGCAAGAGTGAGACTCTGTCTCAAAAAATATATATAAATTGAAAAAAAAAAATGCAAATCAACACCATACTCAGTTACCACTTCACACACACTAAAAAGGCTATACTTTTAAAAACAGACAATAATAAATCTTGGCAAGGATGTGGAGAAACTGAAACCCTCACCTATTGCTGGTGGGAATGTAAAGTAATGCAGCCACTGTGGAAAAGTTTGCCAGTTCCTCAAAAAGTTAAATATATAGAGTTACCATATGACCTAAGGATATATATCTAGGAGAATTTAAAATATATGTTCACACAAAAATTTGTGCATGGATATTTAAAGCAGCATTATTGATAATAACCACAAAGTATAAATAACCCATATGCCCATCAACTGATGATTTGATAAGACAAAGCCTCACAAATTTTGTTTTTCCTACTTCATCTGAGGTCCTTGGACTCCCACAGATGTTATGAATGAGCTCAGGAGTTAAATGGATTCTCTCAAAATTATATGCAATATGTATGTGCATTTTTGCTCTTCTCTTCTAAGAGGGTTCCTAGCTTTTATAATACTCTCAAATGGGTCTAAAACTCAAAAAAATTAAACAATACTGGTATCACGTAAGCATTACTTTAACAGTTTTAAAAAACACAACTGGTTAAATTTAGCAGAATCCAGTACTCTGAAATCTAACACATGTATCACTACATTGTTTGATTCAAACCAGCTAATTGTTTAATTTGTAGAAGCATAAACAAATATTTTTAAAACTACTCTAATTCATCATCCATTGCTTACTTGAATGGCTAATGTTTCTTGCTGCTGACGGGCTTCTTCTTGGGCCTTCTCTAATGCTGCAGAAAGTTCTTCTTTAGCTTTCATTTCACGGCTCAGAGCAGCTTCCTGTGCCTCACTATCCTTTGCAGCATTGGCTTTGTGAAGATCAGTAAGTTCTCTTAAAAAATTAGATTGAGTTTATAAATGTTGCCAGTGATCAGATAATAGAAAAAGTATTTCTTCAACATCCTACTCTGATAATTCATTCTAAATGGGTTGCATATTTGTTCATTTTCTTACTTGTATGCACTATCCAGGGCAGCCTGAATACTTCGGTTCTTTTCTTCAAGTTCATCCATGTCTACCTGAAGACGGCCAAGATCTTTCTCTTGGCGTTCTACCATGGAATTTAGTTTTTTAATATTTTCTCTATGTTGTTTCTCAACCTCTTCTTTGCCATCAAGGACCTATATGTTATAAAAACAGACAAAAGTATTTTTCAAGAAATAATACCATGGTAAATAACTGTATTCCAGGAATCTATAATAATGGAGAAAAATATATATTTTTTTGAGACAAAGTCTCGCTCTATTGCCCAGGGTGGAATGTTCTGGCTCACTGCAACCTCTGCCTCCCAGCTTCAGGCAATTTTCGTGCCTTAGCCTCCCAAGTAGCTGGGACTACAGATGTGCACCACCACGCCCGGCTAATTTTTGTATTAGGTTGGTGCAGTATTTTTAGCAGAGACAGGGTTTCGCCTTGTTGACCGGGCTGATCTCAAACTCCTGGCCTCAAGTGATCTGCCTGTCGCAGCCTCCGAAAGTGTTGGGATTACAGGCGTGAGCCACCCCACTCGGCTAAAAAATCTTATCATTTATCTATTGTTTGAAAAATCCTTCTTACATGATATACCCCATTAAATCTTTTCAAATGCTCCATAACCATGGCCAACTGTTCATACAGGAAGTAATAACAATATATATGTAGAGAATTATGATTGCTATTCACCTGTTTCAAATGCTGCAACTCCTCTTCTAGCTCTTTAACTTTTTTGTTCAGCTTTGCAACCATATTTTCATTCTCCTTGTCTTTAGCTCTTAATTTCTTGATGATGTTAGAATTGTGCAGCTGCTGTTTTGAAAGTTTTTCTCCTGGTGATGGTAAAGAAGTATAAACTCAAATGATAACTATTCCCTAAAAATCTCAATAGAATGTTTTATCTAATAGTAACATAAAAGAACAGAATTTTTTTAAATTACAATTTTGTAACCCACAATGTTACAACTAATTTGGACAGCAATCATCAATGAATGTTAAAATTATTGGGTAAAAGGTTGTTGGGAACTGGATATTGACACGGTCTTAAAGAATCACTCTCATATATCACCTACTAATTTTAAAGAGAAAAATCTGGCAGTCAACTCCTTAACTAAGCATTCAGTTTTGGCATCACCAATTGTAGTACAGCCTGACAATATGTGTCTGCTGATGTGATATAGTTGTTCAATATCACCCAGATATTTCCTACTAGAAATATGAACTAAATCTAATTTAAATCTCATCATGAAGAAAGTAACAAATTCCCGAACATGGGTGGGACATCCTGTGGGACAACTGCCCTAGACTCTACAGAGTCCTCAAAGACATAAAGAAGAGAGAACTGTCCTAGACTGATGGAAGACTAAAAGGACATAACAATCAAATGCAATGGGCAAACTTTGGATCCTGGGGCAGAACAAATGATCAATTATAACAGACACTTTTAGAGACAACTAGGATTAATATTAAAATATATGCTGGATTACACTTCTGAATTAATGCTGATTTCTTAGGTTTGACTATGATGTACCTGTCAAGGAAAACGTACTTGCCCTTGGGAGATGTAGACTGAAGAATTTAGGAGCAGAATGTTACGGTATTTGTAACCTCCTTTCAAATGAGTTGACAAAAGGGTAGTGTATGTATGTGCAGAAAGATATGGAAGAGTTGTGGCAAGATGTTAACACCTGATGAATCTAGGTGATGAAGTAATCAGGTATTCATTGTAGTGTGCTTTCAGCTTTGAGTTTTACAGCTCTTTAGCTTTAAGTTTTAAAAATACTGGCCGGGTGCAGTGGCTCACGCCTGTAATCCCAGCACTTTTGGGAAGCAGGCGGATCACCAGAGGTCAGGAGTTCAAGACCAGCCTGGCCAACATGGTGAAACCCCATCTCTACTAAAAATACAAAAACTAGCTAGGCGTGGTGGCAGGTAGCTATAGTCTCAGCTATTCGGGAGGCTGAGGCAGGAGAATTGCTTGAACCTGGGAGGCGGAGGTTGCAGTGAGCCGGGATCATGCCACTGTACTCCAGCCTGGACAACACAGTGAGACTCTGTTTCAAAAAAAAAAAAAAAATTTTTCTGGGGCACGCGGAAACAATATATAATACCCTTTTGTGAAATGTAAATACTCTGTGAATATAAAATACTCCCATGTGAAATTGCTCTATTTTCTCTGTAAAAAGGTTCATTAAGCAAAAGAAGACATCAGTTCATTCTCTGACAAAATTATTAAATTACAAAATAATAACATTCGATATTAATATTTCAAATAACTCTTTTAAAATAAGAAAACCATGCAGTTAGCCTTCCCCTCAGTCTCTGATATTGTAAGGCAAGGCAGTTAATGACTTCAAGACATCTTGAGAAAATAATTATAACAACAGTTCCTTCATTTTTCTATTTTAGTGCTTAGAATTGTGTTTTATCATTATCTGTGTTCCTATATTTCCCTCTCACTGAACTAAGCCCCTAAAGGACAGAGTGTCATACTTATTATTGTATCAAACATAGTATCTGACATACTAACCGTTCAATAAATATTAGTTGAATAAATGAAAAAGTTGGATAAAGCTAACTTTCAAATGAAATGACTGCTTCCAACTGTTCTCAAACGCTACCCTTTCTCTGGAAATTTACTTAAGTTCAGTGATTTAAGCACAAAAACATTCATCCTACCACTAACTATATTATTAACATTATAAAAATAAATGTACAACACTAGAAATAGTAAAACATATTATGGTATACCCATATAATGGACTTTAATACAGCCACTAATAATGATAAAAAGCATTTAATGGCATAGAGAGATGTAAGAGAAGGAAGATTGGAAATTAAATATATGATCTTAAATATGTTTAAAAATGCATTAAAAAATACATTAAAACTAGAAAAAATTAATAGTTCCTTATAATATTGGATTATAATCTACTTTTCCTCTTTATTCATATACTTTCCTATAACTTCAAAACTTTCTACAAGTAGCAAGTATTACTCTTATAACTACAAAAACTTTAATTAACAAGAGAAATAAAAAGAGAGATTCACTTGACCACGTTTTCCAAAGGCTCCTCTCTCCCAGGATATTACATGAAGAAATTAATTCAGTATCCATTTGTAATGATTTATTTCATGAATAGATCTTTAATTTCTGTAATGCTATTAATTTTATTTTATTTATTTATTTTTTTGAGACAAAGTCTCACTCTGTCGCCCAGGCTGCAGTACAGTGGCGTGATCTTGGCTCACTGCAACCTCCACCTCCCAGGCTCAAGCAATCCTCCTGCCTCAGCCTCCTGAGTAGCTGGGATTAGAGGCACGCACCACCACCACCCGGCTAATTTTTGTATTTTTAGTAGAGACGGGGTTTCACCATGTTGGCCAGGCTTGTCTCGAACTCCTGACCTTAAATGATCCACCCACCTCTGCCTCCCCAAGTGCTGAGATTACAGTCATAAGCCACCACACTCAGCCAACCCTGTTTATTTTAAATCTTTTCAGAGACAAAAGTGCTTAATAATTTAAAAATTAATACAATGAAAAATTCACTATCAAATGTCAGAAAAAGACAATATCATACAGTACTTAAGCTAGGTATTCAGATATTACATAAATCCCAGAGTTACACACTTTGAATGTCTTGGTTTAAATGACAGGCTCTTAAGACCTGTTTAAAGTTTTCTTAGGGCAGCACAAATTTCTGTCTATTTTACAGGGACTTACTTTTCTTTTTACTTCCAAAAAACAAAAGCTAGAAACACGTATCTCTGTCTCAATATATCTTATTCCTCATTCTTCCATAAACTGTCACCTATTTCTATGGTTTACGTCCAAACCCTCCTTGCTTTCAGTATTTTTAATTAGGAAGCATCAGCTAGTTATGTGGCAAGTACTTTTCCTGTTCTTACAGTATTTTTCATAGTCAACCAAATACTATACGCACCTTCTTCCATTAACCCTCGGATCTGCTCATCTTTCTCTTTCAAAAGGTCTGCAGTTTCACTACTATTTAATCTAGTGGCAAGTTCTTCTTTTATGTTTTTGATTTCCTAATAAAAAAGAAATCTGTGAATACCGTAAAGAATGACTTTCACTCTAAGTACAGTTCTCATTTCTCCCCCATCCAAAGAAGCTGTCCATAATCACATTTGCAATAAGAATCTGTAAGTTTTGTTCAGTTAATCTACTACCTTGGTTAACTAAGACTAAGAAAACAACTTTGAAAATGATATTCAAAACCTAAATTCAGATATACAAGCAAGTGTTAATATGAAAATATAAATGAGAATAAATTAACTTTCCTTTTCATTTTTATTTTTATTTTTTGAGACAGGGTCTTACTCTGTCACCCAGGCTGGAGTAGTGGTACAATGACGACTCACCACAGCCTCAACCTCCCAGGCTCAGGTGATCCTCCCACCTCAGCTTCCCGAGTAGTTGGGACCACACGCATGTACCACCATGGCCAGCTAATCTTTGTATTTTTTGTAGAGATGAGGTCTCGCCATGTTGCCCAGGCTGGTCTTGAACTCCTGGGCTCAAGCGATCCACCCTCTTCGGCCTCCTGAGTAGCTGTGACCACAGGCGCACACCAGCATGACCAGCTAACTTTATGTATTTTTTAGTAGAGGCAGGGTCTCACCATGTTACCCAGGCTGCTCTCTAACTCCTGGGCTCAAGTGATCCGCCCACTTCAGCCTCCCAGTGTGCTGGGATTATAGACATGAGCCACCACACGTGGCCAAAAATCTACAATTTAAATGTTAATAGATGATATCCTTTTCACCTTACTTCTCTTTTTTCCAATATCAAAATACGATGAATGCACTCCTCAAAAATCTATATCTCTATAGAGTTTAATTAATATTACTTTAAATTTCAATTACCTTTTTAGCAGCATCTCTCTCTTTGCAGGCTAGTTGAACTTTCTTTTCTGCTTCTGCAATTCTTTGAGTAAACTCATCTTTCAAGGAAGAAATGCTACTGCTTTCTTCTTTCACTCTGAACATTTCACTAAATTTAAAATAATATTTGAGAATGAGGATGGTGTCTATATATCCCAAAGGTATACATGAGTTCAATTCTCAAAAGGAAGATAACTTTTCTCTGACATATACCTTATTAAAATAGAACAGTTTTAGGCCTATTAACTTTTAAGAAAAAAAAAGGAAATTTCCCTTGTTAAATTTATTTTAAAACACCTCAAAGAAAATCTGTTAGAAAGAGAAAATGTCACCAATATCTGACATGTAAAAATAAGAGAAGAGTAAATACAATGTTTCAATTCTGAATCTTCTTGTATCACATTTTCCCAATCAGCTCCTTATAGCACAACTGTGTTATTGATTAACACAGTTTTCTTCAAATACGTTTTAAATCTCTAATACTAAAAGACTAAAAACGAAAGGAAAGAGTTTTCCAGTTTTGCAAAATGACTCTCTTCAATGGCAAAGGGTAAAGACAATCAAAAGAGAAAAGTAATCTTTAGGGTTATAATTGAAAGCTATACAACTTTCAATAATGATAAAATTACAAAACATTTTAATTTCAAAAACATTCTTAAATATGTACAAAGTATACAGGTTTCCAGAAAATGTGTAACATTATTCACATTTGCAGAATACTTACTCTTTCAGGTTATCAAAAGCTTCTTCTAGAAGTGCTTTTTCCTTACTAAGAGATAATAACTGAGCCTCCCTTTTTTCCAGCTTTTCATTCAGAAATTCAACTGTCTGGATAAGGCGAATACATAAAAGTCAGAACGCTTAGCTTTAAAAAAGACCATTTTTACATGCAGGTGTATCACTGTAACAAAGAAAACAGCTTTATCTCATAAAAACAATCAAGAACAGTATTAGGAACACAGAAGATCCAGAACAAGAAGAACTCTTAGGCAGCTGAGAGGAGAGTAAAAGTAAATACAACCAAATAGCTAGTGGGAGTGTAAGTTGAGAAACCCCTTGAGAAAACAATTAGGCAATATCTAGTTGGGGATCTACATACTCTTTGATATAGAAAATTTCACTTTTAGGTATACCTTAGAGGAGAAAATTCTTGCATAAATGCACTAGGCGACATGTATAAGAATACTTTATGTAGCTTCCTGGTAATAGCAAAAATCTGGAATAATCTGCATACACACCAAAAGAAGAAGGGAGATGGATGCAATCAAAAGAGGTCAAAGAGGAAATTTAAAGCCTCTATATTTTAGCTAGGTGGTGGATACACAAGTGTCTATTTTCTGTATTATTCTTTACCCGAAACACATACCCTTTTTAAAATATGACATATTGCATTTAAAAAATAAAAGTAGGCCAGGCGCAGTGGCTCATGCCTGTAATCCCAGCACTTTGGGAGGCTGAGGTGGGGGGATCACCTGAGGTCAGGAATTTGAGAGCAGCCTGGCCAACACGGTGAAAACCAGTCTCTACTGAAAATACAAAAATTAGCTGGGCATGGTGGCAGGCACCTGTAATCCCAGCTACTCAGGAGGCTGAGGCTGGAGAATCGCTTGAACCCAGGAGGTGGAGGTTGCAGTGAGCCAAGATTCTGCAATGATCTTGCACTCCAGCCTGGGTGACAAGAGTGAAACTCCATCTCAAAAAGTAAAAATAAATAAATAAATAAAAGTAGAGGCCGGGCATGGTGGCTCATGCCTGTAATCCCAGCACTTTGGTAGGCTGAGGAGGGCAGATCACTTGAGGTCAGGAGTTCAAGACCAGCCTGACCAACACGGTGAAACCCCATCTCTACAAAAAATACAAAAATTAGCCAGGCATGGTAGCATACGTCTGTAGTCCCAGCTACTTGGGAGGCTGAGGCAGAAGAATCACTTGAACCTGGGAGGCAGACTAGCCTGGGCAACAGGGCAAGACTCCGCCTCAAAAAATAAATAAATAAAATAAAATAAAAGTAGGGCTGGACACGGGTTCATGCTTATAATCCCAGCACTGTGGGAGGCCAAGATGGGAAGACCGCTTGAGCCCAGGAGTTCAAGACCAGCCTGGCAGCATAGTGAGACCTCATCTCTACTAAAAATCAAAAAAATAGCCAGGCGTGGTGCGAGCCTATGGTCCCAGCTACTAGAGCGGATTAGGTGGGAGGACTGCTTGAGCCCAGGAGGTCAAGGCTGCCGTGAGCCATGATCGCACCACTGCACACCAGCCTGAGCAACAAAGAGAGACCCTGTGAGCCGCGATCGCACCACTGCACGCTAGCCTGGACAATAGAGAGAGACCCTGTCTCATTCATACATACATCCATCCACACTAAAAGTAATTTTAGAAAACCCATAAGAATTTTTAAATCTCCATAATGTATCAGTATAAAGCTAAACAAAAAGTAATGCTTGGAATGTCTAATTCCTTAGGTCCTACTCAAATGGTGATAAACTTGAGTATAAAAGGAGTAGGAAGGGTTCCTTTTTGGACTCAAAAAAATAGTCTTACCTGAGTTTGGTTTAGATGAACTTAGAAATCACTTACCTTCTTAAATACACTGAAATTCAAAAATATCTGATAGTAATTAGTGCTGGTTTCTAAGAATTCAAACTCCTATTATATATCTTACAGTATATAGCTATTACTAATTGAAATATTATTGCACAGCATTTTGTTTGTGAATATTTAACCTGATTAACAGAATCTGGCACTTTTTTAAAAAATTAAGTAATTCAATACATGGCACTTACAGGACATTTCTTCAAGACATCCTACATCTCAGAAGTCTATTAAAGATACCAGATCCAACTAAATTTGTATATCTAAAAGTCACAGTAAAAACCAAAACTAGGACTTAATGTCAAAGAATTTATATCACTTTCCTTTCACATGTATTAGGTAGAAGCAATCTGTCCCTCCTAAGCAATGCTTTTGTTCCTTAGACATTTCTCTTTCTCGTTCATGTGAAATATAGCTATCAATAGGAGATCTCAAAAATAACATAAGCAGAAAACAAACTGAAGCAATATAAGGATATATACTCCTTATATATGAATGAAAATACTAATAACAGAAAAGCACCAATAATTAAAATCTTAAATTATCATTTAATATTTGCTACAAATAATGTAAACATGTAAAAACAAATTCTGATACAAGAAAAACCATAACATTTAGTTTTTTTGGCACATCTATCTGCAAAGGAGGTGAAGATACATGTTAATGTAAGAAAATATTCCTTTCAAATTGACATACTAATAAGCATAACAGAATTTTGAAGTGATAAGGACTCAAAAATAAAGATGTAAGATGAAAACTTTCATGCTTAACTGTATTGAAGTATCAACTTATTCTACCATAATTGCCTTGGAGAAATTCCAAATTATATTAATAATTGTTCAACTTCAAGGTACTTAATGCTACACAGAAATGGCAAAATGCGTATGTTTTTAAATCTGTATAAATTATTATGCATCAATGAAAGTATTTTTTAAAACAAATGATTTAATCTCCAAAAAGCACATCTAAAAATCCCTTCCACTTACTAGAGTTACCTTGCAAACATCTTCCTTCTCAGAAAGTGCTTCTGGCTGACTTTCAGCAGGTTCACACTGCTCAGCCACCTTGTCTAACACAGTCTGTCCTTCATTTATTGGTGTGGAAGAAACCAAGATATCAGGCTGTTCACAGTTAACAGGAGTTGCACTTCGTCCACTTTCTTCCATTTCTGCTTCCTCAGTGGGTATAACTAATGTTTCATTTACTTCTTCAGATTTTCCTTCAGCAGATTCAACTGTTTTAGACTTTGGAGTTGAAGAATTAACTATAATAGGCACTAAAGCATATCCCTTGCCTGACAATTCATCATCTGAATTGATTTCACTTACACTCCGGCTATCTAATGACTGTACACTAAATGAGTCTATTCTTTCAAAAGCATCAGATGAACAGCAACTCTCAGTGAGTTTTTGGAAATCATCTAAACGATTATATTCAGGACAAGCAGATGCAGAGAGAAGCTGAAAAGATGTCTGCATCAAGTGAAGACTTGATTTTGAATCTGTAGTCTCTTGTCTCGAGCTCGCTGAGCTCTCACTTATTACACTTTCATGATCTAAAACTTCAATATCACTGGTGGTAGAAGTACCTGATGAAAAGGTACTAACAGGAGGAGAAGGTGTATTGCTCTGCCTGTCTTCATGTTTTTGTTCCTTAGGTTCCAAAGCTATGTCCTTTGTTTCTGCTGTGAGAGACTGCGTAGACGTATTAGATATACTTTCCATAGTTGTTTTCACATCAATTACACTTTCAGATACTTTCAAACTTACAGTTGGCACCTTCATATCCGATTCTTTATTAACAGTTTCTTCGTGCTTGCCTTCAGTTTTAGGTGATGAAGTACCTGCTGCCAGAGTTTCCCCTGAAACACACAAAGAAGAGTCTTTTACTTGTGATTCAGTTGTTTCAGGAGTTCTTGACTGGCCAATGTGCAAGGATTCATGTAAGCTGCTTTTCACTTCTTCTTCTGGTCGTTGTGATTTTGCTGGAGGTTTTGATACCACTGGACTCTTCTGAATGGTCTGGACATCAGTTGGCGAGAGAAAGGCACTGAAGAAATTTTCAGATTCATCGACCACAGTCCTCCGAACTGGCTTTGTGATTGCTTTAGGAGAGGCTATTGGTGGACTCTGAGGTTCAGTGTTTGATTTCAACCCCCAGGTTGAAGTATCCCATCCTCCACTGACAGGGGAACTTATTCCTTTAACAAAAAAGTAAATATTAAAAAAGAACACATATATGTTACATTAATATTTCAATCATCATTATAAATCAGTATAAATATAAATTTAGAAAAAATACCCTATGAAATACCTGTAATTTGCACCTGCTAAACTCCTTGCTTACTACATCATTAAGTAGTTTCCAAGTTAATACAGGGACTTACGGAAGAAAACTGGTGTGGGTCCACCTGAGAGGAAGGAGGAGCACAGACAAAAGACTGGGCCTGGCCTGGACTACCAGATGCGAGTATGTTATTCCTCCCCACAACAAATTAAGGAAGTAACAGTATATGTTTTATAACCCACAGTAAGTCCAAGATACCTATGATTCATCTCATAATAACACGCTTTACTTATCAATATGAAATAAACTAATATGGAACTAACTGAATAGGTTGGGCCATGTGCAGTCACAGAAAAATGACCCTACCTATTCAGTCAGTTTCATATTAATTTTTACTTGTAATATCAGTAATATAGTTATGAGCTAGACAAAGGGCAACACTCAAAAACTGAACTCAGTGGGTATGGAGGTTCACACCTATAATCCCAACACTAGAAGAGTCATTTGAGTCCAGGAGTTCAAGACAAGCCTGGGCAACATAGTGAGACCCCTGTCCCTACAAAAAAATTTTTTTAATTAGCTGGGCCTGGTGGCCCACATATGTGGTCCCAGCTACTCAGGAGGCTGAGGTGGGAAGATCATCTGAGCCCAGGAGGTGGAAGCTGCAGTGAGCCATGATCAAACCACTGCACTTCAGCCTGGGTGACAGATCGAGAACCTGTCTCGAAAACAAACAAAACAACAAAAGCCTCAAACCAAGATAATGGTGACAAATGTTCTTTCCCGAAGATCATATTAAACTGATGGGAATGGTAAGTTCTAGAGAACAAATTCATTTTCATCCACTTAATCACAGGCTGATTCTCTAAATCCCACTCTCCAAGCCCACTCTAAGAGGAAGTTTTGTTCTCAAATTCTAAATTATGTCAGAAATTACAAGGTCATTATAAATTTCAGAAATGTGTGTTTTTTTAAGAACTATTGCTCTTTGACATAGAGGTGGTTGACACTAGGGTTTTTAAAAAAGCGCTACAAAGAAAATGACTGTTTTCTTGGGGAAAAAGTTAATTATCATATCAGTCATACAAATAGCTACTACTAAAATCCTGATTTTTAAAAATGGCATAATCAGGATCTTAAAAATGGTATATTCGTTAAAGTATTTAAAGCATTTCTTTAAAAATGTTTTCTTTTTCAAATTAAAATGTGGCTGAACAAAATATTCACAAAATATTCACAATTAGAAGTTGGTGGAGAGAGCACAAGTAACTAAAAGCTTCTAAAAACTATCAAGCCTTATAGTAGAATCTATCCTTTAATATGACTTCAGGCCAGGCGCAGTGGCTCACGCTTGTAATCTCAGCACTTTGGGAGGCCGAGGCGGGCGGACCACCTGAGGTCAGGAGTTCAAGACCAGCCTGGCCAACATGGTAAAACCCTGTCTCTACTAAAATTACAAAAATTAGGCAGGTGTGGTGACGCAAACCTGCAATCCCAGCTACTCGGGAGGTTGAGGCACGAGAATCACTTGAGCTCAGGAGACAGAATCTGCAGTGAACAGAGATGGCACCACTGCACTCCAGCCTGGATGACAGAGTGAGACTGTGTCTCAAAAAAAAAAAAAACAAAAAAACAAATATATATATATGTAAATATATGTATGACTTCAAAGGCAGTTAGGATGAAAAGTATGTAGAAAACTTCAGTTTGGAGGCATAGTTCTACACATTCATTTGCACAATATCCAAACCAGAGAAAATCAAAATTAAATATGCAAATGAACAACCAAGATTATGTCTGATTAATTTAAATACATTCAAAAGATGACAGGAATTAATTTTGCCTCTTGGAGAATACTTTATATAATCCCAGGGTTATTTGGTATCCATCTAAATTATACCATTCTGAAGACTATGGGCATTTTCCGAAAACAAATATCCTTATATGTAAAACCTATATTCTATCTTATCTAAAGTTTAGTAATTCTAATTAACTGGGGCACATATGAAAAAACAGAGTTACTCCAGCAAGGTTATATGACATCTTGTAAAAAGTAAAGAGGATCATCACATACACACATGGACCAAAATATCTTAAACTGAGGTACCTCAAATTTAGGTCCTGACTTTTCAATGATGTAAAATTAAGAACAGAAACCAGAAAGGAGTAGTCAAGTACATCTCTTATCCTTTTTCACACAAAGGTTCACATCCCCCAACACCAGCAAATCTTTACCCCACACATCAAATGCTGAACTGTTCCTTAGACTTAAGAGTCAAAAGCAACTGAATGAAGATCCCTGAAAGATTAAGCTCAATGAAACTGCAAAGAGAGACTTGGCTATTCAGAAATAAAATGTGATACCATCCAGAAATCTTGGGTCACACATTTTCCGGCTAATACCTCCGGCACATTCTAATCCTCCTCCGCCGTGTGACCTAGAGCAAGTTACTTGGCCATTCTGGGCCTCATTTTCCTCTTATGTAAAACACGGATATAAACCAAGCTCTCTCTGGGAGTTGTTCTGAAGATGAGAAGGCCATAAAAAAGCACATTACAGGCTCGTGCCTGTAATCCCAGCACTTTAGGAGGCCGAGGTGGGTGGATCGCCTTAAGTCAGGAGTTCCACCAGCCTGGCCAACATAGTGAAACCCCGTCCCTACTAAAAATACAAAAAGTTGCCGGGCGTGGTGGTGGGCGCCTGTAATCCCAGCTACTAGGGAGGCTGGGGAAGGAGAATCGCTAGAACCTGGGAGGCGGAGGTTGCAGTGAGCCGAGATCGCGCCACTGCACTCCAGCCTGGGCGACGGAGTGAGACTCCGTCTCAACAACAACATAAAACCACATTACGCGCTACCAAGCGCGAAATGTTCACTGACTGTTAGCGATTGTTCTTCCCTTCCCTGATGATTTACGTACTTCAGACCTTGGATCCCAACAGTGCCCGAGACGCGAAGCAATTCGAGGTTCAGGTTCGGGAAGGTTGTGCTTGGAAGCTGCGTCGAGGGAGAGCTTGAGGGCAAGACCAACCAACCAAGTCCCCTGTCATCCAAGTCCACAAGCCTCGCACCCAGGACCAAAGAAAGACAAGGGGGAACCTGGATCTGGGTTTTCCCTCAGGAAAACAGCAAAGACCGACTTGGAGGCTGAAGCAGCATTAGGGAACGGGCCGGGGAGAAATTACTTCCTGAAAACTCTCTCAGCAAGGAAGGACCCCTCTCTACACCACTTAACCTGCCTGCATCAAGAGAACAGCAGCCTCCGGGAGCCAGGAACCCCGCTCCTCTCTCTCTTACCCGGCTCTCCATACGGAATGGTCTCGGCCCAGATGCTCGGCTCCTCTTCCTGGATGTCCAGAACCCTGTCAATAGACTTCTGGGCCTGGGACAGGGCCTGCTTAGCGAAGCTGGAGAGCTGGGAGGCGTTGAACCAACTCATCGCCCCTCCTCAGCCGGCAGTGGCGGCGGCAGCACCAAGCGGGAAGGCCTCAGGCCTGGGGAAGGGTGCAGAGGAACGGCTTCGCTCCCCTTTTCCACTCGGCTGGTTCTGTCAGCGTGTGGCCATTACCCCGACAGCCTCCCGCGAGCCCGGGATGTTACCCTCGGCCGTTCCCGCACAGCTGAGACGAAGGGGGCCCATGTGCGCATGCGCTTGCTTCTTCCACGTACACAGCAACCAAATCTACGAGCCCAGAGTTCGGTCGACAGACGGAAGAACAGAAGAACGTTGACGTCACATCCGGGAGCGCAGGGTTGCCGTTAGTTACCGAGGAACGCGGAAGGGTTTCTATTGATGTCGATTTCGTGCTTACAGCAGTTCTTAGCGAAGGGGAAGCTATGGCTACCGATAGAGGTCGATTTCCCCGGAAGGAATATTCAAGTTTTCGTGTGTGTGCTTTCCAGGAAAATAGTTCACGTGCTAAAAGCTTGCACCTTGCCAGCAATAATTGCAAAGGGAAATTGGGCCTCACACTTCTCTTAGCCCTTTGTCTCAAATATTTAATAAGCTCTGTATTAACTTGGTATTGTAAGGAGAAACACTTGTTTGGGCTTGCCTAAAAGACAGGATCACGTATGAACACTGTGTCCAACTCGTGGAACACATGGTGCATAAAGCACAACCTCTCTCTCAAAATAGTAGTAAACTCATTGCTGCAGTCAAAATACCCCTAATACTGTGGTCTGTCGGTGTCCCCTGCACAAATTCCTATGTTGAAACCTAATCTCCAATGGGACAGTATTAAGGGGAGCCTTTAGGAGATGATTAGATGATGATGGAGCCCTCATAAATGGGGTTAGTGCCCTTATAAGAGAGGCCCAAGGGAGCTCACGGCAAGAAGGCACCAACTCTAAGCCAGAATAGCAGCCCTCACCAGACACCAAATCTGCCGGCTCCTTATCTTGGACTTCTCAGCCTCTAGAACTGTTAAGAAACAAATTGCTACTGCTTATAAGCCACCCAGTTTATGGCAATTTGTTACAGCAGTCCAAATGGACTAAGACACCTAGGAAGCACTAAAGCTGTTATCCTAACAATGTGCACTGTGCATATTACTTAAAACATAACCTTTTCTGTGTGCATTCTCTTCGAACATTTGGACATGGGAAAATACCTTAAATTGGTGGCCTTCCTAATCCAGTCTGCAGCTATATTTGGTTTGGGCCCAAGTTAAAGACAAAATCCTAACTAAAAGCCAGATTTCATTCAAAAATCTAGATTTCCAGCTGCTTTTGAAAAATATGAATACCAAGCATGGGAATAGTCAGCCAGAGTGGTCACCAAATAATTTTCACTCACTCCAGTTTGCCACAGACCCCTATCACTCATCCTATTACACCCTCCCTGCTGTGATTATTTACCTTATATGCCTGCCTCCCATATTTGAATATTTTACCCCACTGCAAGGAACTCTGCAAAAAAGAATTATTTTTCTTTTAAAAAATCAGATTGAACCCCTTAAGAAGTTATAATCATCTTCCAATAATTTTATCTAACTACAGTAAAAACTTGCATGTTAAAACTAACAATTTAGTCATGTACACAAGTAGTACCAAGTAACTCAAGTACTTTCAAACAGCTAAGTAGTCTGCAGAGGAGATTTGGGGCAGATTCGGGTTGAAATTAGCTGTACAGTTACAGTTCCAAGACTTCTAATTGTACAGCTTTGGTGAAATGACCTACCTAAACCATCTAAAACTATTTATTCAGCTCTCAGATAGAGTCACCTTCTTACAATGCTACTTTGAGAATTATTATAGCACCTATATGGTGCTAAATTTTAGTTCCTTCACTTTCAAAATTGTAAGCTACACCTGTAACTTTTCAGGTAGAGCTTATAAATTTATTCCGTATGGTTTTATAATAAAACTTATTTGTCAATATGTAGCTAGAAAGATTACTGAAAACTTAACTCAGTGACACATAAGTAACCAAAAAACATTTGAACAGAAAACTGCCATATCTAAGTCAAAAACAAAGAATGAGAACACATACATGTTCTCATATTAAAATACTAGCACCTACTTTTTTAGTATTTGTACTTAATTTTGTTTGAAGTTTTATTCACTTAAAAGAAACAAAAACATGGTCAGGCATGGTGGCTCATGCCTGTAATCCCAGCACTTTGGGAAGCCGAGGGGGGCGGGGGGGGGTGGATCACCTGAGGTCAGGAGTTTGAGACCAGCCTGGCCAACGTGGTGAAACCCCGTCCCTACTAAAAATACAAAAAATTAGCCGTGCATGGTGGCAGGCGCCTGTAATCCCAGTTACTCCGGAGGCTGAGGCAGGAGAATTGCCTGAACCGGGGAGGCAGAGGTTGCAGTGAGCTGAGGTTGCATCATCGCACTCCAGCCTGGGCAACAAGAGCGAAACTCTGTCGCAAAAAAAAAAAAAAAAAAAATTATATTGATACAGAAAGTTAAATTAAACCAGTAAATTTTTACTATAGAAATTGCTGTAGCAAAAGTATTAAGTGCAATAAAAATTTGATATAACTCTGCTACACATTTAAAAATTATTCCTATATTACCATGGAACTACTGATTACCCTTAATGTACTTTTAAAAACTTCAGTGAAAGAAGTACACAATATATGATTTTATTAATAAATAGTGCAAAAGCATCAGTGATAACTGTTTGAACATTAAATTTTTTAAACAGCCATGTCTTGGCATTAGTTAATATTGTGCATATTGGCCTCTATGGCACTACAAGTAAACAGATGAAAATATTGCCCATTTTCATGCACAGGTATTCAGCTATAACACCATTTACAAATCATTATGAACAAGATAAATTCTGCAATAATATTCATTTGGATGGCCACAATTAAATGAGTGTTATATCAAGAAATAGCCTATGTTCAATATACTCCAGATGTCAGATTGTAAAATGTAATGTTATTTAAAACTTAATTCTTTATTTTCCTTAAAGGGACACCTTTTGTGTATTTGGGTACTCAAATGAAAACTTAGGAATGCATTCTTTGACCATAATAACAAAATTCACACAAAAGAGGTTGTATGCTTCCTCCTCTAAAAGAAGCAATACATTTGCTCATAATCTCTCTCTCCAGGTATCATTTCTCATATTATTAATGAAAATGCTTACAAGCACCAACACCAAAATTCTGTCTTCAAGGGAAGGTTACAAAGTTAAAAAAGAGTGGTTCATTATATAAAAAAAGACAAATCGTGGCAACACTATTGCTAAAAATGACATCGATTCAACTTCTTAGCATCCACAAAGTATATTATTTCCATGAGTTTTCTATTATGTGGAGATTTTCCTTAAGAAGTAAAATGAAGTTTGAATAGTACAGTCTGTGGGGTGGTGACATCAGCAACCGCCAGTTCTTGTCCATCAACAAGCCCCAATTCTAAAACAGAAAAAATATTATTAATACAAGCAAAAAAAACTCAACAGAAAGGATAATACACATGTAAACAAACTACAGAGTATTACGGTCTAGAAAAACATCAAAATCCAATCCTCTTTAATCAAAGTAATATTTGATTTCTTAGAGATTTTAAAATATTCTACTAAAAGAGCAATTAATTCTATTAATATGTCTAAAGTTGTAAGTAATTATTACCTGACCATATACAAGGCATTAAGAGGAAATCTAGAACAAGCACTGATTACTTTCACCAAAAAGAGAGAAAAGAAAGAAAATGATTAGTAAATACCCTTATGTAAAATACCTTTCAATGTTTTGGAGAGATTTGGCCTTGTTCGTTCTTCAATAGAGGTTACCGACTAGAAAACAAAATTACTTTAATGTAAGACACATTAAAGTAAAATAAAACTTGATATAATTTTCTGAAAAAAATTTAAAATACACATTGATAACCTGTAAGTAAAGTGTTCTATTTTTTCCCTCTAGGGTGGCTGTGATGGCTGGAGATTTCATTTGCCTAAAGATTATGATGAGAGAGAAGTATCAAACATAATTTTTATCAAAAGATAATTTTTTTAAGGTTTCAAAAATCACAAAAATGATTTTTACAACATAACAAAAATCTACAATACTTACAGAGAAGCACTATTGGTTAGATAATCCAAAACCTCCTGTAGTTTAGCTGATGGAGAAAACTGAATATTTTGAGGAAGCTGGCTACAAGCTGGGCAGTTTTCCTACACACATAATACACAACAAATTACAGCAGCACATGCACCAATATTAGTCTCTTTTATGAACAATAAAATAAAAATCAGGTTGTTTTATAATCATGCATATTTCCTATAAAAAAATTTTTATGCTTTAAAGCCTGCTTTTCATAATAGACCATTTCTTGTAAATTACTTCGCTATAGAGTTATTTCAGGCTATAAAGCAAAAGATATATAATAAGTAGAGTTCTGGAAGTTAGAAAATGTATGGGTGACTTTGTTCAAATTTCTAACCAATAATATTTAAAAATCAAAATATGCATGATCAAAAATGTGTTCTTAATACTACTAACCTTTCTTTCTGCTTCAAATGTGTATGTATACAGCCCATCTACATCATTAAACACCAAGTAATTATTCAAGGGAATGTATGCACTGTAATGAAAAAATGTTCATCTTTATATAATTAAACCAAGTCAAAACATAAATTTACATGCATATTAAAAATGAAACCTATTACCTTGTGGCTATTTTAAAAACCTCAGTGGCACACACAGCTGAAGGGAGGAGAAAATACAGGTGCTTTAACTCAATGGAAATTAGGCATGTTAAAAGTCAGTTATAAATCAGAACAGATAAATTTACATTGGCTCTTCATTAAAAAATACATATTCCAATTTTTAAAAACTGAGACAGTAACAAATTTTACATTGTTTTGTGTGATTCATGTAATAGAGTAACACTACATGTTTTTCTTGTTTATCAGATTAATAAATGGCCTGCTTCATATGGAACTAAAACGTCTCTTTACTGCAGGTAACTTAAGACATAATGTAAGACAAAAAATATGCAAAGTCTAATAACTGGTTCTTTTTCGACAGCTTAGTTACACAACCCATCCAAGAAGATATCAAATTCCTACAACACAAAAAAGCTGCAGCAACGTCAAAAACTAAAGAAAGCAAAATAAACTAAGTGATGGCCTTTTCTTCCTCACCTGCAATGACTGCATTTGTGGAAGCTACTGCAGGAATGATTCTTTTTACTACCCCTGAAAAAACATATCAATTAAAATATGGTCATTTCTTTAAAATAAAAGAGTTCTCTTAAATTAGAAGGCATGATTATTAAATACCATTTTCTAAAACTTGATTTTTCAGACTTTCAAGCCAGAAAATAAATTTAACCATGAAACAATCTTTCACATCCCCATCACTTTGTAGTAAATTCAGAATCTTAAGCTACAGTAGCAAAGAAAACTCTCTCAAGTAAGTGCTATAGAAAGGTGAAACAATAACATCATAATAGTTAACAATTTAGAGTATTATGTTCCAGGCACAATGTAAAGACTAAATATTATTTAATTTTCACAACATCTTCATGTTAATTACTCTGATTTTAAACATAAGAAAAGTGAGACTGAGAGAAATTTAGTAATTTATCCACAGCTATATACTTAGCAAGAGGTGGGGTTGGCATATGAACACAGATATTAACTGATACACCATGAAGAATAAGTGTTATCTAATTATTCCTGTAACAGCTTCAGTCACTTGATTCACAAACATTCAAAAAAAAGAAAAGCTGCCCTTTATTATCTTTTACTCTACAACCGAGGCTACACAAAATATTAAATACAGTTCTCTACTTCAACCCCACATTTTTCTTTTTTTTTTTTTTTTTTTGAGACAGAGTCTCGCTCTGTCGCCCAGGCTGGAGTGCAGTGTCGTGATCTGATCTCGGCTCACTGCAAGCTCCGCCTTCTGGGTTCACGCCATTCTCCTGCCTCAGCCTCCCAAGTAGCTGGGACTACAGGGGCCCGCCACCACGCCTGGCTAATTTTTTGTATTTTTAGTAGAGATGGGGTTTCACCGTGTTAGCCACGATGGTCTCGATATCCTGACCTTGTGATCCGCCCGCCCTGGCCTCCCAAAGTGCTGGGACTCACATTTTTCACATCAGTATTATTCACATATTAGGAATAAACAAAGCCTCACCTTAAACCATTTTTTAAAAGTACAAAATAAATACTCCATTTTATAACTATATTTGAATTGTTCATTTTAGAAGACAAAAACTTCAAGAAAAAGTAGCCATTTTATCTCACAGTGTGAGGAAACACTGTAAGATGTGTTCCCAAGACTCCAAGTATAGTCAGGTTTCAAAAACTTAAGGAAAAACAGCAAGTAGCTAAGAAGACATGAAAGAAAGACAGTTACGAAGGCTGGAAAGCTTTTTTAAAAAGTTGACTGTGACCATATGATTCTCTATAGTTTTGGAGAAGAGGAAATTTAAAAAGAGATAAACTGCATGATGGTTAAACTGGAAGCTCTCCACTGAACCACATGTAGCAGGATGTACTGAAAGGAGGAAGTGGTAGACACAAACAGTGAAGCGTGTAAGAGACACTGCCCAGTAAGAACATTGCCAAAATGATGAGGACTCCCCTCTTTCTCCAACCCCTGCCACCCATACCCCTGCCCTTCGACCAAAAAAAGCTAGAGTGGGCAGAAAGGCAACTTTCTGTTATACTGAGAACAAGGGGAAAAATCATAGAATAGATAGAACCACTGGCTTGTGCAACTTCACTTCCAATTCTCCTTCTGTACTCCTTGTTGAGGCCCTCATTCACCAGCCTAGAAAGTACACACCAAGCCCTGGTAAAAGGTAAAGAAGGATGGATGAGACTACATATTAAAATGGGGAGTTTACAGTTTCTGGTTAGAACACACTGAATTCGTTTGTTAATTCTAACAATTAGCAAATATGTGTAACACATGCTCCAGACACTGTTCTAGGTGTTGTGCATAGTAACAATGAAAAAAAGTATCTGCTCGTATAGTGATTTCATTTTGATAGGGGAGATAACACAAAAGTAAATACTTGGAACACCTCAGATATTGAAGAGTTCTATGAAGAAAATGAGGTATGTGTTAGACTGAGAATGATGGATGCAGTCCATTAGAGAGAATGGTCAGGGAAGGCCTCCTTGGAGAGGTGATAACTTGAGCTGAAACCTAAGCCATGAGAGAGATCCAGCCATGCAATTACCTGAAGAAAAAGCTGTTTGTAAACAGCAATGGCAATGGTCCTGGTCCTGGGGCAAGGATGTAAGATAGTTTAAGTGTGAAATATTCTTTGCATAGGAGAATGAGGCTACCATTAATCAGTTCTGAGCAATTACCAAAAAAAATAGAATGGTGAATGGCTCAGAAGTCATTTTAGGTTGAATGATTAGGAAAACTGGTTAAGCAGACACCTAAGAGATGAGGAGCCAGCCTGAGGGGATCCAAGGAAACACCATCCCCGGCGTAGGAACTCGGGAGTATTAAAGCTCTAAGGTACAGAAGAACTTGGTGTGTTCAAGGAACACAAAGCAGGTCCGTGTAGGGAGAATGCAGAGGGCAACAAGGAGTAAGTATAAATGGAATTTTAAAATGACATTACTAGATCAGTAAATGTAAGGAAATAATCACAGGAGAGAAATGGCAGATTTTCAAAAAGAAGACAAAGCTCATTCTGGTGAACCTGGTAATGATCTTGGGCAAAATTCTAAAAAAGGAAACTATAACTAGATTGGAAACATTGATCACTATGATTGAGCATGACTGGTTACTAGACAAATCATGTTGGAGTAGCCTCATTTGGCTACTATGACTAACTTAGCAACTCAGGAAAATGCAAAAGATAGCATACCTAGGCTTCAGTAGAGGATCTGGAAAGGTTTTTCATGACATCCTTGTGAACAAGATAAAGAAATACAAAGTACCAAGAAGGTCTGATGAACAGAATGAGATAAACCTAAAAGGGCCTGGCCAGAAGTATGATTCAGATGTCTGTTCTCAGAGAGTTCAGTCTTATTAAAAATTTTCATCAATTATTTGAAAAAGAAATAAAGGATATAATTATCAAAACAGGTGAAATGAAGCTAGAAACACCAGGTAAGTTGGCAGAATACATATAAAGAGAGAAAAACAGGTTGAATTTTAAGAATACATTTGTAAGGACCTATACTTGGATATTAAGAAAAACAAAAAAAAAAAGACACTCCCCAAACTGCCAAGTTTATAATAGGCAGATGTGGCTTAGCAATTGCATATGTGGACAAAACATCCAGCTTTCAGTGGCTAGTAACATCAAAGAATCCAAAGTATAGCATCAATGTAAACAAAAAAACAACAACATAAATACCTGCTCTCCTTTAAGACTGCATCAGTTATCAGAAGTCTATTATCTAAAGTTAAGACCAGTCCCATAATGCTGCATGTTGGCCTGAACAATTAGGAAAAGTTGTTTTCTCTAACTATATTCCAGTTAACCAATATGGATAGCTGGAATATGGTTACAGAAAAACAACATGAGAACCTGAAGCTGTACAACATATCAAAGGGTTGGATATAGTTTGGATATCTGTCCCCTCCAAATCTCATACTGAAATGTGATCCCCAGTGTTGGAGGTGAGGCCTAGTGGGAGGTGTTTGGACCGTTAGGGCAGATCCCACATGCATGGCTTGGTGCCCTCCCTGTGATATTAAGTTCACGCAAGAGCTGGTTATTAAAAGAAGCCTGGTATTCCCTCCTCTCTCTCTTGCTCCCTCTCGTCATATGACATGCCTTGCCATCCCCCTTAGCTTTCACGAGTAAAAGCTTCCTGAGGTCTCACCAGAAGCCAAGCAGATGCTTTTGCCATGCTCACACAGCCTGCAGAACCATGAGCCAAATAAACCTCTTTCCTGAATAAATTACCCAGTTTCAGATATTCCTTTATAGCAAAGCAAAATGAACTAATACAGGGTTAAAGGAACTAACTAGGGAGGTTTATGGCACTGATAAAAATTTGCAAAGGATGTGATCACTGTCCTCAATATGTTAAAAGCTATTACTTAAAAGGGAATTAGACTGTATACAGTACTGGGACAACAGTCAGACCAAACTGAAGACGATTTCTATTTTGAGACGAAGTTTTGCTCTTGTTGCCCAGGCTGGAAAGCAGTGGCGCAATCTCAGGCTCACTGCAACCTCAGCCTCCTGGGTTCAAGTGATTCTCCTGCCTCAGCTTCCTGAGTAGCTGGGATTACAGGCATGTGCCACCACACCCAGCTAATTTTGTATTTTTAGTAGAGACAGGGTGTTGCCATGTTGGTCAGACTGCTCTCGAACTCCTGACCTCAGGTGATCCGCCTGCCTCGGCCTCCCGAAGTGCTAGGATTGCAGGTATAAGCCACCGCAGCTGACCTGAAGACAATTTCTGTTCAATATATAGAATATTTGTCTAACAGTCCTGTCCAAATGTGAAATAGACTGTCTCTAAGAGATGATGAATTCAGTGGAAGATAAAATGGACAGTTTGACTTGGATGACTTATAGCCTAAGTAAGTAAGATTCAATAATTTTATTAAATTCCCCCTAGCTAATAAGTAGTATGAATTACATGGTACCTTTACTGAACTTCAAGTGGATGGTACTGTCTAAACTCACTTATCGATTATTCTCCTGAAAGCATCCCAGCCCTAAGTCATCCCAACATCATAATTCATGACAATTTGCTGACTTACCTTGAGTGAGCCTATACGTAACACCCCTAATATTATATTGTGATGCTCTCTCTAGGGATTTTTGGAAAATCCATTGTATATGTTCAGGATCATCTCCATCTAATGGAACCCCTTCTGTTTAAAAAAAAAAAGGGAGAGAGAGAGAGAGAGAAGACAGGAATACGTAATCACAAAACAATGTTTTTAATGAAATTATCCAAAGGAATAATATAGAAAAAATATGTATTTTATGTAATTCTAGATTATTAAATTAGGTTTATTACCTCCAAAAGGCTGCTCCTTAGGCCACTGCAACATCCTTACATACTCAATACAGTGTTCTGGTAGCCTGGGCATAGATGCAATGGTGCACATGGGAAAATTAACCTAAAACCACAGTTTGTCCTTTTCAGTGAATTTTAAACGAATTATTTTAAAATGCAACTTCCAGTTATGATCTAGTTCTTAACAATTTCATACAATTTGTTTCAACTCAAAATATTGTATACCATTAAAAATGCCTCTCAAACTATAATACAGATTAACTGAGTCACTTCACTTAGGCTGCACTGCCTGTAAAGACAGGTTTGCCCTACATTTACAAGGTATAAAATTTAAGCTTTGTTAGACTATGAGAAGAAAAATACTGAACAGATTTTCTCAAATATGAACACCTTGTTATTTTTACCTAATATTTAAGTATAAAGCAAACCAAAACAAAAGCAAGTTCAGAGTTAAGTGAATCCCAAGTGAATACTCATAAAATTGTTTACATTTATTATTCAAAATTTCAAGTGTTCTTTAAAGTGGATATGTAAACCAAAAAGCCCCATCCTTGGAAAGATCATTCTTATCCCTGGTATCTTTATTTCCCTGAAATAAATACAGGTGAAAACCACATAGATTACAGCTTGACATCAATATACAACTTTGTAATTCTACTTGATACCTACTCCCCAAATAAAAAATACAAATAAATTATGAAAGCAGAATAGTATCAAAACAATGTACTCGGTTCATATCTTTCCTCAAATAGAGCAGAATTTCATATTTTATCTTTCTTCTTAGTGTAATTTTTAAAATACGGCCACTTCTAATTAACAATCCTAAATATTAACTAGACTTAATAATTAATCCCTAATTCCATGCCAAGATACTATAAAAGAAATGCAGGTGCTTTTTTGATTACCTGTGGTGGATAAAGTTCCAGCGTGCATTCGATACAAGCAGTCATTCCAGGCAGAATCACCCGGGCATTTCCTTTAAAACCTTCTGTCCCCCCATCTATCAAAGGGACAATGGAGCTTGGATCTAAGACACCATCTTCATAATTTAGAAGAGATATCTAGGAAAACAATTTGAAGGGCTTTAAAGGAGAAGGGGATAAGAATTCAAAAGAAGAAGTATGCTTTCAAGTAATCCTATGAGTCGGTTGTGCTATTGAATACCAATGTATCAAATCAAGGGATTATAATAACAATTTGTGTCTTCACCTGAAAACCAATGACTGGCAATAAACAATGAAGTAAATATACTTAATTAAAAATTAAACTCTGATTTTTCAAAAATATATCAATTCTAATTTTGGGGATGTGAAGCACAGCAGCAAGAACTTCAGAGAACTATAACAATACTAAAGTCTTTACCAGCATGCCATTTATCCATCTTCTGGCGATGATAGAGTCCAGTCCACATACAATAATATGAAATTCTACAAAAAAAAAAAAAAGCAACTTTAGTTTTTAAATATGTAGTTGCATGATGATCTTTCAATGTAGATTCATCAACTGCAACAAATGTACCACTCTGGTGCAAGATGTTGATTAGGAAGGTAGTGTGTTTGTGGGAACAGGAAGCTCTATGAGAACCCAAGTTTTCAAAAATTTTCTGTTCAATTTTGTTGTGAACATAAAACTGCCCTAAAAAATAAAGTTTACTAATTAAAAAAAAAAAGCACTTGCAGAAAACAATTTGCACGTTCTAAGAAACCAACAAAAAAACCACAAGCACTTTTTACTGTAATCCCACATACGTTCTCAGAGCTCCAATTCCTTGAGTGAACTCTCATTCAGGTAAGCATAGAAACTTGTAGCTGGTCATGTCAGCTAAAACTAGCATTCTCTTTTCAGTCTATCAGCAACATTACTGAAAAGCCAACAGTGAGAGAGGAAAGCAAGTGAAGAAATAGCCTTGAAATAGCTAGCAATATTTGAATAGCTACCAACTAAAAAATTCTAAGAATCTAGTGAGCATTAATTTCAAGTAAAAAACTTACGTCGATAGAAAGTGTCGTTAAAATCTTGAATCTTGTTGAAATGTCTGAATACAAGTAAAGGAACTTAAGCAGCTAAGTTTTAATTTCTAAAATGAATTTGACAATGCCATAAGGAACACACTCTGCATATATTTACAACAAGAAATAAGTAATCAATGTTCACATCAGTGGAATTCAAGGAATCTGACTAAATGAACACAACTCTCCTTTCTGACAAAACTTTTCTGCCATTCCTCCCCTAACTACTTACTTTTTCTCATTCCTGAACCCCTATATCATTATATTTATGCCCTTGGTAGGAGGTATACTTTCTACTTTGCTTTGGTTTTTATATAAAACCATAAGCCCCAGGAAAGCAGAATGTGTGTCCTCAATCATCAGCATCAAGAAGAGATGCAATAAATGTTTTAGTGAAGGAAAGATGCACATTATAGTTCCTATTTTGCTAGGTGATTTTAAGAGTTACTGCAAAGCTCATTTTTTTAACATACAGAAAATTTCAACAGCTTTTTCAGTTGGTAAAGATTTTACTGTTTTTATTTTTTGTGGGGAGGAGAAAAAGTACGAATTTTTTCTACCTTTCTCATTTAACTCAGTTTTCAAGTTACCCTACCAAATCCTATTACCAGTCTTCCCATCCCTGGAGGCTAAAAAGGAAACTCCATTCAAAACTGATTGTGGGTGAGTCAATATAGCACTTAATGTTTTAATAGCACATGTGTGCAAAAACTTGTTTTAATTTTTCTAATGAATGGAGCAATTGTTTAATAATTTATAAATTATGCAACTTCTCTAAAGTTAAGATAAATAGTCCACTATAAATTTTTTAAAAGCAATACAGAGAAAAAAGGGACAATACATAGAAAAAAGGGACAATACATGCTTCCTCTAGATTTTTAATTCTTGCCTACAAATAAAGCTATGAACAATAATTTCAATTCTAGCCCTCAGTCATTCAGACCTCTATTCCCTTTGAATGCTAGGCAAGCAGGAGAACGAAGCTACAGCTAGAAAGAGGTCAAAAAAGAAACAAAGCAAACAGTGGAGGAATGGCAATCAGGGAACCAAGAGCCAGACTAAGAAATCTAATCTGGATTTCTAGAAAATACCCAAAGTTTCCCAGACCCACATAATGGGGATAGACAAACTGAGTGCCCCCCACTAACCAACCCACCCCCACCAACTCTTCCTTTTTCCCTACAGGGGCCTGTATTTGCATTTTTAAGCTCTTTATTTTGAAATAATATAGATTCGCAGTAAGTTGCACAGATAGTATAGGTAGGTACCATGCACCTTTCCCAGTTACATCTTACTATAGTACAGTACCAAAACCATGAACAGAACATTGGTACAATGTGTGTTTATAATTCTGTCATTTAAACACACATAGATTTGTGTAACCACCACCCCAGGCAACACACATAACTATTCGACCACAATAAAGATCTCTCTGCAGCCTCCACATCCTGGGCTTAACTGATCTTCCTGCCTCAGCCTCCCACATAGCTGGGACTACAGGCATGTGCCACCATGCCCGGGTAATTTTTCTAGTTTTTACAGAAATAGGGTCTCATTTGTTGCCTAGGCTGTTCTCAAACAACCAGGCTCAAGTGATCTTCCCGCCTCAGCCTCCCAAAGTGCTGGAATTACAGGCCTGAACCACCACACCCAGCCATCTCTATAATTCTGTAATTTCAAGAGTATTATATAAACAGAATCATGCAGTATATGACCTTTTGAGACTGGCTTTTTTTTTTTAGTCTAATAGTTGTGTAACAGTATCGCTCATGGTGGTCTTAGTTTGATGTGAAACATCTTTTCATGTGCTTTTCGTCATCCTTTTTAGTAAAATATCTCTTCCTATCTTTTGTCTATTTTCTAATTGAATTTTTTTTTGTTTTACTGTTGAGTTTTTAGAGTTCATTATATACTCTAGATATGAGTCCTCCATCAGATGCTTTACAAGTATTTTCTCCAGTCTGTGGCTTTTCTTCATCCGTTTAAGAGGGTCTTTCACACAGCAAGTTTTTAATTTTGATGAAGTTCAGTGTATCAATTTTTTCCTTTTATGGCTCATGCTTTTACAAAAAATTATTTTAATTTTTTAGAGATGATGTCTCACTACATTGCCCAGGCTGGAATGCAGTGGCTATTCACAGTATGACCACAGCCTACTATAGCTTCAAACTCCTAGTCTCAAGCAATCCTCCCACCTTAGCCTCCCAAGCAGCCAGGACTCTGTAGTGGTATGATAAAAGCTCACTGCTTCCTCAGTGATCTGCACCACCATACCCCACCTTTTACAGGTCTTGCTTTTGACGTGGCCTAAGCACTCTCCACCAAACCCTAAAGTTCTATCGTTTTATGGTTTTTTGTGTTTTTTTTTGTTTTTTTGAGATGGAGCCTTGCTCTGTCGCCCAGGCTGGGGTGCAGTAGCGCAATTTCAGCTCACTGCAACCTCAGCCTCCTAGGGTCAAGCGATTCTCCCACCTCAGCCTCCTGAGTAGCTGGGAGCCACTGTGCCCGGCTAATTTTTGTATTCTTAGTAGAGACGGGGTTTCACCATGTTGGCCAGGCTGGTCTCGAACTCCTGACCTCAAGTGATCCACCCACCTCGGCCTCCCAAAGTGCTGGGATTACAGGCATGAGCCACCACGCCTGGCTCATTTTATATTTTATATTTACACCTATAATCCATTTTGAGTTAATTTTGTATGTTTAGGTCAAAATTCATCTTTTAACTATGGATATGAAATTGCTCCAGTACGATTTGTTGAAGACTATGCTTCTTCCATTGGAACTGTTTTGCACCTTTATCAAAAACAAATTGGCCATACTTATATGGGGCTATTTCTGGCTTCCCTATTCTGTTCTAGTCATCTATATATCCCTCTGGTAACGCCACTGAGTCTGGATTACTATAGCTATATAAGTCTAGAATTTGGATAGTGATTCCTCCCACTTTCTTTTTCAGATTTGTAGTAGGTATTCCTTTGCTTTTCTATATAAAATTTTAGAAGATCGTCTATATCGACAATTTTGCTGGGATTTTAATAGAAACTATGGTATATATGTATACAAATTTAGGGAGAAATGACATCTTTACTATATTTAATCTTCCAATCTTTGAAGATGGACTATCTCTCCATTTATTTAGATTTTCTTTGGTTTCTTTCATCAGCATTTTGTAGTTTTTCACTATATAAATCTCTTACTTATCTTGTAGTTTACATCTAAGTATTTATTTTTCTTTCTAAGCAGTTGTAAATGGCATTGTATTTTACATTAACTTTCACAAGTTCACCGGTATGTTGATTTTGTATTCTGTGGGACTTTCTACATAGAAATCACATCTTCTGACTTTCTATAAAATGCCAAAAGTTCTCCAGATCTAAATTCAAACTACAGTGTAAATACTCCTTTTTAAAAACATATTTCTTGTAAAAATAAATTTACTGTGATGTACCTTCCATTTGGCTAATACTATATTGACTGTCTACTCTGTCTGCTACTATAAAGAAACAAAGATTAATTGGATCCAGCCTAGGAATTTACACTCTAGTAAAGGAGATATGTAATTGATACTGAAATTAAGGGCAATAATGCAAAATAAAGTAGATGATGAAACAGGCTTTATAAACTTAAGTTAAAAATCAGGGCCCAAAAAATATTTATATAACCATACAGAAAAGACTGGAAGAATAGATAGCAAAATGTTACCAGCAGTTATCTCAGTAATAAAGTTACTACTGCTGACTTTTTTTCCCTCTTGCTTATCTGTATTCTCTGTTAAATATCTCTTATAATAAAGGAAAAAAGCTTTTAAAAATTAAGTAATTTTCTTTTTGTCAAAAGGATACGGAACTACATTGCAATTAGGAACTCTGTCATTTAGAAATTCTGCAGCAACTTCAGCCTTAGGTCTTCCAATATCTTTAGGCCTACAGGAAAAATATTTAAATTATAATTCATATTATAAATCTATATGATCTACATAACTTATTTTCAAACATAAAAGTAAATTCACAGTAAGTTTACTTATAGGAAATTTAGAAGGAATATTTTTGCCTAAGTATTTTGATTTCAGTAATAACTTTTGGTAAACGGTCATTTAACCTTAAATGTCAACCCTTGCTAATGGTCCAAATTAACATAAGTCTAATTAAGTATTGCTTTAATTAAGAGAAAATCTGAACAGTGTTCTTCCTCCCAGATAAAGCATAATAATGCTATGATTCCTGGCCACTTTCCACTGTAAAAAATTATCCCACTCTTAGAGCTCAGAACCTTATGGTGTTACTCCACAGGTCTTGGCTGAAATATACACAATAAGATTCATCCTTGGGATGCAAGAACCTTCATTTAACCCCTTCTTCCTGTGTGTGCTGATTAAGCAGCAAATTTTGTGTCCCCTAAGAAGCTGCATGAAAAAGAAAAAAAAAGAAAAAAAAAATTTCACTGGACCGTATATAAAATGGAAAAAAAAAAAAAAAAGAGGCTGTAACCACGTTTTTTTCTTTTTTCTTTTTGAGACGGAGTCTCACTCACTCTGTCACCCAGGCTGGAGTGCAGTGGTGCGATCTCGGCTCACTGCAACCTCCGCCTCCCAGGTTCAAGCAATTCTCATGCCTCAGTCTCTAGGGAGGTGAGATTACAGGTGCCTGCCACCACAACCAGCTAGTTTTTGTATTTTTAGTTTTGCCATGTTGGTCAGGCTGGTCTCGAACTCCTGACCTCAGGTGATCTGCCCGCCTCAGCCTCCCAAAATGCTGGGATTACAGGCATGAGCCACCATGCCCGGCACCAAGTTTTTAAAGAAAGAATAATACCAAAAGTGTCAGCTAAAATTGCAAATGTTACTATTACATCACAGAAGCTGAATATATAAGGCCTCAAAAGGTCACTCTTAAAACAATAACCACACATATAGATAGGAAAGGATATGAATTTCCTCCTCTAAGTTCTATACAAATGGTATTTTCTTTCCTAATATTTCCATATTCTCCTCAGAGAAATCACTCCATGTATATAATAAGAACATTATTACTTTTTTCGTAACATATTTGCTACATACACGTCTATCATACCCACTAGACTATTATTTGGATGAAAGTGACCATGTTCTTACTCTCTTCATATTCCTTCCTACCTAGCACACAGTAAATACTTTTAAAATAAATGAAAATAATAAATCGTGTGCTTATTAGAAAAAAATCTGAAATTTCAAAGAAAAACACTTTAGCATGTCAATTTTTCTTTTCTTTTTTTTTGTTTGTTTGAGACAGAGTCTCGCTCTGTCACCCACGCTGGAGTGCAGTGGCACAATCTCGGCTCACTATAACCTCTGCCTCCCAGATTCAAACAATTCTCCTGTCTCAGCCTCCAGAGTGCTGGGACTACGGGCATGAGTCACTACGCCTGGCTAATTTTTGTATTTTTAGTAGACACAGGGTTTCACCGTGTTGGCCGGGCTGGTCTCGAACTTCTGACCTCAAGTGATCCGCCCACCTTAGCCTCCCAATGTGCTGTGATTACAGGCATGAGCCACCATGCCAGGCCAATTTTTTTTCTCTCCAATAAAGCACTGTTCTTTTTTGATTCAAAACTTTTGGTAAATGTTTTATCTTCACTTTGTACTAACTTACATAAAAAAGGCCCTGTTATAAATCAAAGAACTTAATTTCAGTATTGCATTCAATGGCTCCACACACAGAAAGCTCTTTTGGTTTGTAAAAGGGATAAAGTAGACTTCTAAGATTATTTTAAGTAATATATTCTATGTGCTTTTATGGCACGGCCCAAACAAAAGAACTCCTAGATGGTTTCTGGGAACTGTTTGTTAATTTACCATTCCAGGATGAAACAATCAGATTGCTCCACCTCAATAAAATGGCCTTTCACACACATCATCCTTGCAGGACACTCTGCCCAAATTATTTAACCTTGAACACAAGAACCTACCCTGAGGTTGCTGAGATTAAATGGAATAATATGGATAGTTTAGAAGTACTTGCTACATATCGTTATTACCATCTTCAACCATTTTAGCCACAAATTAAAGGGTATGGCCTGTATCAATAACAAATCAATTCAGTGGTATCTTTTTCAGAGAATTCACAACTCAAAATTTGACAAGCTGGACAGAGCCCACAAACTTTGCTATAGAGAAGGGAAATTTCAAAGGTTAAAAAATAAACAAAAAATAAAGCTTAAAAGTTAAACATTAAGGGTCACACTGCAATTACAACACTTCATTAACTTATTTTAATCCATACTTCAGTCCCATTAAGATCTTCCACAAAGATAATGTAGAGGTTTTATGCCTATCCAAAAACTTAATGTTACCTTTTTTGCTAGCTCAACTTTATCCTATATACCCAGAACAATTTGAGCACTGTCAGTAACAGATGCAAACTTCCTAAATAGAGAGAGAAAAAAAAAGTCCTTATCTCTGTGTATCTTTGACTAACAAATATACACTTTTACCTAAACTACTCAAACCCCTCAATATTACATACTAAATTCATGAATGAACATTTCTTCATGTCTGGATACATGGTCTACTTCAGTTTTTGTTTTTTGGGTTGTTTTGTTTTTGTTTTTGAGACAGGGTCTCGCTCTGTTGCCCAGGCTGGAGTACAGTGGCATGAACACAGTTCACTGCAGCCTCCAGATCCTGAGCTCAAACGATCCTCCTACCTCAGCTTCCCATGCAGCAGGGACCACAGGTGCACACCCGGCTAATTTTTTAATTTTTTTGTAGAGACGAAATCTCCCTTTGTTGCCCAGGCTGGTCTGGATCTCCTGGGCTCAAGCAATCTTCTCACCTCAGCCTCCCAGTGTTGGGATTACAGGTGTAAGCCACCATGCCTGGCCTCTACTTCTCTTCTTAAACTCATCTTTAACAAATCACTCCTTGATGTTCTCTATATTCCATATATGCCTAAGGTAACCATCCCTCTTTGTTCCATTCCAATTGGTTCTGGTTTTTCTCTCCTCGACTTTCCATTTTCTTTCCCCTTGTAGGAAAAGCTCAAACTCTTTCCCAACTTTATTGCTCCAGTCACCATTCAAACCTTGGCTCACAAATCCCTGCCAATCTCTCACTAGGGCCTAATACTCCAGCGAGTATTCTCTTCTGACATCAACTGGAGGAAGAGCTACCGTTCTTTCCTTTCTTCAGAGCACAGTTAACCTGAGGATATTCCCAAAAATCACATAAACCTTTGGAAGGAGACTTCTTCGAAAAAACAAAAACATGTATTTGTTTACATAACTACTATCACCAAGATGCCCAAAATTTTCTTACAAAACTTTACCTACAATGGGAATGGTAGTTTTTGTTTTTTAAAATAAAATTAGTATTATCCTCTCAAGTCATTTTTAAAAATTATTAAACTGCAATGTACAAGTTCAAATGATTATCAGAGCTTAAAAAAAGAAAACCGCTAAGATATTAAAACTTACCTAAATAAAAACTGCCTATTTAGATTGGAAACATCTATAGTGTCCATATCTATAACATGAATCTGTCTAAAACCAGACAAGGCCTGTGGGAATAAAAACAATCCAATTAAGCAGAAGTTTCCTCACATTTAAAAACGTAACATTTGTTTTCAATGTAGTCTTAAGTCTACAAATTCTCAGTAATAAATTCTGTGTAATTTGTATTCAATGGCTGAAAGACTCTTGCAAGGTATATAAAATTCAGAGTTCTTGAACAGGTCAAAAGTGTACAATCACTCAGTTTCAAATAATCTATAACCAAAAGAGAACAACTCAAAATTTCTACGGATTGAAACTATTTTACATATATATATAATTCCATAAACACATTTGTAAAATTTGTTGCTTTGCTGCTATTGATGGATACTTTAATTTTACTATGCTTGCTATTATTTTTTCAAAATATTGTTAAAAGCAATTCTACAAGCTTTATTTTAGTTTACTTAATATTAAGCATGCCACAATTCAGAAATGGTAACTATTATAAGACATATATTATAAAAACACACACATGGGTAGGCTGTATTTGTAAAAGGAGTATCTTAAAAGATATTGAATCAAGAGCATGCAATTTAAAAAGCAGGGAAAGGCAAAAAACAAAAAACCTGTTAGGTTTCCATAATAATGCCATGCATTCTGAACAGTACAACCACATTCAAATTTAGCAGCAGATGCAAAAAACTGAAAAAAATAAGTCTCAATAACTAACTTTTCTGGTCTTGGTCAGTTTACTTCGATGATCAAATAACTTGACAATAATTTCCTCATTTTTCTGTCCCCCTATATACCAAGAGATCTTCAAGACTTATCCATATTTGTGCTTTCAAAGTCCTGACTGTTCTCAAACTCCACAGAAACTGTACTTGTCAAGTTCACCAATAACCTCCGTGTTGCTAACTCCAATGACCAATTCTCAATCTATCTGACCTTACCTTTCTGAGGTATTAGGCTGGGTGGGTCACTTCCTCCACCCTAAAACATGTTCTTCAGTTGGTCACCACACTCATGAGAATTTAAACACTTTTTAAAAATTGGTTTCCAGTTCATTCAGTTTTCTTCCTACTTTACTGGCCAGAATTCGGAGTAGCCTTGTGCTTTGTTCTGGTGATCTCAGACCATCTTGTAAGATATAGACCATCTAGCAGACATCTCAGACTTAACAGTTTCCAAAACCAAACTTGATCACCCTTGCTCACAACAACCAAATCTGTTCTTTTCCAGATCTTCCTCATTGCAGTAACTTCCTCATTGCAGTAACTCCATCTTTCCAGGTGCCCGCCCCTAGAGCAAAAACCTTGTTGTATCATCCTCGATTCCTTTCTCTCACAGCACACCACCAATCCATCAGCTAATCCTGTTGATTCCATCTTCAAAATATATCCATAATCTGACCACCTGTCACCACATCCAATGCTACCATCCTGTTTCAAGTCACGTTGTCTCTTGTCTAGAGGACTATAATAATCTAATTAGTCTCTCTGTTTCTTCCCCCTCTCTGCTCTTCCCTTAGTCTATTCTCAATGCATCAGCCTCAGTAACCTAGGTGAAAAGCCAATCAAGTCTCTCATTGCATAAATCTCTCCAATGACTTCATGACTCAGAGTAAAAGCGACAGCACTTACAGTAACCTCCAAAGTCTTTTGTGATATCCACTCCAAGCCCCTCCATCTCCCATTATCTGTCTGATATGGTCTCCAAAAATGCTCCCCCAACCCACTTCTGCTCTAGCGATGATAGCCTCCTTGCAGTCCTTGAACAAACAGGAGTGCTCCACTTCACAGCTTTGTACCTGTTATTCTCTCTAACTAGAATATTCTTCCTACAGATAACTGTATGGCTCATTTGCTCACCTTTGTACTCAATAGCACCTTTTTGTAAACCTTTTCCCTTCACACCATTTGACATACTATATACTTACTTTTTCATTCAACTAAAATGTGAGTCCCACCAATGCAAACACCTTTCTGTATTTGTTCAATGCTGTATCTTCAGCATCTAAAATGGTGCTTGGCATATGGGATGGAGGCTCAATAAATATTTGCTCAATCAGTAATATTAGTATCTTTTTTTTTTTTTTTTTGAGACGGAGTCTCGCTCTGTTGCCCAGGCTGGAGTGCAGTGGTGTGATCTCGGCTCACTGCAAGCTCTGCCTCCCGGGTTCACGCCACTCTCTCGCCTCAGCCTCCCGAGTAGCTGGGACTACAGGCACCTGCCACCACGCCCGGCTAATTTTTTGTTTTCTGTATTTTTTAGTAGAGACGGGGTTTCACTGTGTTAGTCAGGATAGTCTCGATCTCCTGACCTTGTGATCCGCCTGCCTCGGCCTCCCAAAGTGCTGGGATTACAGGTGTGAGCCACCATGCCCAGTCTAGTATCATATTCTTTTTTGTTAGAATGAGCCTTTAGGGGGCTTACAATGAATTAAATAAGCAAAACAAGGAGTAAAATTGAAAACCCTTAGTTTTCTTCTTTTGTGTAAAAGATTACTATAATGCAATAAAGAAGAGGTCACTCCTTAAAGTTGCTTGGTGACTAATCTTCAGATCTAATCTTCAATTATTTTACACTTAAAATTAGTAAATGTCACATTTGCAAATAATGGCTTCAAAATTTAATAAGCTTTAGGAAACTTGTACATTTATAATACCTAACAAAAACCAATGCCCATCCTCCATAAACCCTTTCCTTCTCTAAGTCTTTGGTTCTCACACTGCTAGAGTATTTATGTTTGATACGGTACTGTCATTTTGGCATTCCACCACAGAGTATATCATGCATACTGCTATTTATTTCATGTGAGATTTATCTCCCCAATGAAACTTCAGATTGATTGAAGACAGAGACCACGATGACATATAATCCCCACAGAACCCAGCAAGACATTAAATACAGTGAAGTATATTTAAGTTTTTACAACTTCACTCAAGCGACATTAGTGTTTCTTAACAAAATTAATGTGGCTATGTTTATATTTAAACTTTAACCCCCTTGGCCAATTATTTGGGTCCTCCATCTGGCTGTGACCTGCTTTATTTTCTAAAGAGTCTATTCCAGCATTTCCACTTTTCTACACAGCAGTGAGAAGCCTAGCATACAACTCTAAACCAATTCTGCCTCTACTCATTTGTTACATAAACTCATTAAAATTTATAGAAAGCGACTTTGTGATTAGAAAAAGTCAAGGAAACCAATTAATTAAATCAAATTATATACTTAATTTATTTCTAAATATATGCAAATAAGTTCAGTAAAGGTTTAGCTTTCCCAAACCTTAGGTGTCCACAATCGTCTTATTAGGTCATAAAATGACCTAATGGTTCACTGAAAAAGAACACTTAACTAAGAACTGATGACCTGGATTCAATTCCAGGCAAATCGCTATAATCCACAAAAACTTCAGCAACTCAGTCAACATCTCTAAACCTCAATGTCTCCCTCTATATAAAATGGGGTAATGCCTTACCCACCTAGCTGGGTTATTTGGGGAAGCAAAAGAAATAATAAATTATTTGAAACTATACATTAAAATATGAATTGCCAGTTTTGTTATTTACTTCATTGAAGTTAGGAGCGTTTTGCCAGAGGAAGCACCAAAAGTTGTTTGTTAAAGATCAGAGAAGAAAACTGAAGTATGAAATTTTATCAATAACTTTATAGCTGAGAGCTTTAGAATTTAAAAAGTTCCAAAGTTCTACCATTTTAATTACTGTTTGGAATTTGGCATGCTAAACTTATCTAACAAAGGCTCAAGAGAAAAGGTTAAGAATCACGAGAAATTCCCTAGTATGACAGATAAGTAAGGTTTACTTATCACAAAGAAGAAAAAAATATTTATATATATATGTATATATATTACCAGATTTTTCAGGAGCTCACATCCTAAGCCGCCAGCTCCAATGACTAGAACTTTACATGTATCTAACAAGAACTGGAGAGACTGTAAAGAATGGAAAGGCATATTAAAAGCTGGGTGATAACCGCAAAGACTATAAATAAAGCAACAAACTTTAAAATAGTTTCTGATGTTTCCAGGAAAAAATGCCACTAGGATAAAGAGGAGACTTTGTATTTGCTCAATTATTTGAAATTTGTGAATTCTATTGAACCAGGAATTCTAAAACTCTAATGATTTCAGGAAGTTTCAATGTTAATTTTTCTTTTTTTTTTCTTTTTTTTGAGACGGAGTCTCGCTCTTGTCACACAGGCTGGAGTGACTGATGGGATCTCGGCTCACTGCAACCTCCGCCTCCCAGATTCAGGTGATTCTCCTGCCTCAGCTTCTCGAGTAGCTGGGATTATAGGTGTGCACTACCACACCTGGCTAATTTTTTATTTTTAGTAGATACAGGGTTTCACCATGTGGGCCAGACTGGCCTTGAACTCCTGACCTCAAGTGATCCGCCCGCCTCAGCCTCCCAAAGTTTCTTGGATTACAGGCATGAGGTGCCGCGTCCGGCCATTAATGTTTTTAAATTGCCTTTTATTGTATGAAAGTTAAAGGGTATTTTTAACAAGGAAAACTATCTCTAATTTGTTTTTTAATTTTTGCAAAGGGATAGAGAACATCAAATTCAGTTAACTGACTTCCTAAAAATATAAAAGTTTAAAAATTTAAAAAACAGAGGATCAAGCACTGCCCAAAGTGTTTAAAGGAGTAAAACAATAAGGTAAAAAGAGTAACAGGGCTGGGCACTGTGGCTCACACCTGTAATCCCAGCACTTTGGGAGGCTGAGGTGGGTGGATCACCTGAGGTCAGGAAAGACCAGCCTGACCAACATGGTGAAACCCTGTCTCTACTAAAAATATAAAAAATTAGCCAGGTGTGGTGGTGGGCGCCTGTCATCCCAGCTACTTGGGAGGCTGAGGCAGGAGAATCACTTGATCCTGGGAGGCAGAGGTTACCATGAGCCAAGATCACACCATTGCATTCCAGCCTGGGCAACAAAAGCAAAACTCCATCTGCGGCAGATGGAAGGGGAAAGAGTAACAGCTGCTTTTTTTTTTCCTTTTTGAGACAGGGTCTCACTGTGTCACCCAGGCTGGAGTGCAGTGGCATGATCAGAGCTCCCTGCAGCCTCCACCTCCAGGTGCAGTCAAGCAATCCTCCCACCTCAACCTCCTGAGTAGCTGAAACCAAAGACATGTATCATCATGCACAGCTAATTTTTTTTTCTTTTCTTTTTTTCTTTCTTTTTTTTTTTAGAGATGGGTTCTCTCTATGTTGCCCAGGGTGGTCTGGAACTCTTGGGCTCAAGTGATCCTCCCGCCTTGACCTCCCAAAGTGCTGGGATTACAGGCGTGAGCCACCTTACCTGGCCAACATCTCCTTTTGAATAAAGTGAGCGAAACTCACAAAACATGAGATAACACGAAAACATATAAAACTCTTAGAAAATTCCTTATCAGCAGAAATACAATCATTTAACAGAAGTAACAATCTTAAATTATCAGGCAAAAAAAAAAATTTAGAAGCACAAGAAAATATGGTGTGTTATCTAAAGAAAGACAGAATTAATACTTTCAATTCTTTTTCTTTTTTTTTTTTTTATTTTTAATGCTTTCAGTTCTGCCCAGCATTAAAGGAGAAAGTTATTCACATGAGACACTGGGCCAAACCAAGAGTTTGCACGTTAATTTATGGGAGTAACACAATATTTCTATTTCAAAATACTATCTTTTTATAAATACAAAAGCACATAAAGATGTGCTATACTTTTCCCTACCCTGTAATAAAAAAAAGTGACATATAAGTGAACACTTGCCTTAAGATAGACACTATCAGTCCAAAATTCTACGCCTCTATTATTTAGTACTTACATAATTCTTAACATGCAATTAATTATACTCAAAGCTAAGATGTTCATTCCAACTAAATTTCAAAATTTAAGTAAGCACACCTATACTCCTATCAAAATTAATTTCTCACAGTAGCACTACAAAAGGGGAGTATGTTTCAGAAAGCATTTTAAATTTTTACATGAGGTCATGAAGTTAGATTTTTCTCACAAAAATTTTCAACTTATATTACATGAGAAATGTTAAGACTCAAATATTCAAACAAAATCAGTTGTGAATATTCAATCTCATATTTTAAGAAAAATTTAGTTTCACAAAACAATTTTATTAGTATTTTCATTGTAAGAGCAAATTAAAAAAGAAGCATTCTATTAGTTTTGAAACATAAAACTATTAGAGCAGTTATTTAAAAATAAACGTTTCTCACTTCAGTGCTCGGTTCGAAATCAGGGTGTGTGAAGGGTCCAGATCGCTCGAGGAACTTCTTTACATGGTTCCAGCGACCTTCCCAGTCTCCAGTGTCCCCACACCCACCATCAACAGCCATTCTGCACAGAACACAGTAAATTCAGCTGCAAAGATCAGTATGAAAAAAACCACACCTACAACTATTATGGTATCCCCAAATGAAAAGGTAACCACACCAGACCTGCTCAAATAAAAAGGAAAATATTCAATGTGATTATGTTTATGCTTTGAAATTTTTTCTTGCCTATTATACAATTCATTTAAAGTTAAGAACTGCACGTTTCTATTTTTATTTCACCCAATGGATGAAATAAATCAGTCTACATGTTTTTGGTTTCCTAAAGCAATCCAAGGTTCAACTTAGGATATTGGTCTATTATGTGAGAAATTGACTTCTCTACATTTGGTATTTACAAAAAAAACACTGCAAGCTTCCTCAATCTGTTGTTTCATCACACTTGCATTAGGAAATATGAGATACAACAGAGAAAAAAAGTCACACTTTCAGAATTCTGATGCTTATATGTCTGATGCAAATTTAATATTTATGTGTCCTTTCCAAAGGTGTAATCTAAAAATCACTTTGATGAGAGGAATTTTCACACACTTTTCTCAGAAATAAGGTTATTTTTTCTTTTTCTTTTTCTTTTTTTGTGACAGAGTCTCACTGTGTTGCCCAGGCTGGAGTGCAGTGGTGTGACTGCAGCTCACTGCAGCCTTGCCCTCCTGGGCTCAAGTGATTCTCCTGCCTCAGCCTCCCAAGTAGCTGTGCCTACAGGTACATGCCACCATACCCAGCCAATTTTTGTATTTTTAGTAGAGACGGGTTTCGCCATGTTGCACAGGCTGGTCTGAAACTCCTGAGCTCAAGTAATCCGTCCACCTCGGCCTCCCAAAGTGCTGGGATTACAGGCATGAGCCACCGAACCTGGCAGAGGTCTTAATTTTTTAAAGAATCTCTTAATGCTGTGGGACGGCTTTTCTTGCCACTAAACACAAAGTTTCAGATTACAATTACGCCACAGATAGACATCTACAAACCTTTTAGAACATACAACAGAATAAGGTGGGACTCCTCTACAAAATTCATCTATTTTATACTTAGTTAAGATTCACGTTTGGTTGTGATTATTTTTAATTTTCTAATTTCCTATAACTCCACAGTTTCTACCGTCAAATATATTAGTAATATCCAATTTTTACAAAAGGGACCAAGAAGTATTGCCTAGCAATAAAAACCATACGTTTTGATGTCAGAGTTGTGTTGGGTTCCACAATTAACAGCACTGTGACCTTGAGCAGATTACTTAATAGACATAAACCTCATCTGCAGGCCGTTCATAGCTACTTCTTTCAGCCATGAGGATATAGATAATCACACAGAAGACTCAGTACAGTACGTGGGATATGGTAAGCAATGTTTAATTGTGATTTCATGTAAAAGTGGGAGGGAAATAAAAGGCAGGAAAGAATGTGAAATTAAGTTTGTCATCCCGGTCCTCTTGCAGCTGAAATTCAACTGAGGGACACACATAAAGATCAAAGCACTGCTACTGGGAATCGGCACGGAAATTTACAAACTCACCATAACCAATGCAAGAGTATTTTTTCCCTGCCCAGGCAGGGAGGGGAGTAAATTATGTGGCGCTGGCCAGGTTAGAAAACACTTCGATTAAATCTGTCTCACCAGCATAGAATTAAGCATCTGATAAGAAATAGGGTGTGTAGTAAAAGGGATAAATAGGCTGTTTGAAGTCAACAACCTCTTTCCAGATCTTTTAAGAGCCAATTATTCTGCCAAAATGACTGGAGTGCTTAGTACAATACCTGACATGTAGAGTTATCATTAAAAGTTTGCAATTAGTACTACTGTCTCAGTGTTTGCAAAAGGCCACAAAACGGTCTTGTGTCCTTTTCCTGTGTGTTTAAGGTAGATTGCCTTTTCACAGGGTCACTGCTCTGACAATTTGGGATGGAGGAAGAGGAGTGCACAAGGGTCCTTCCTCAAGACCTTTACGTCAAGCACCCCGGAGGGCCCCTGCAGGAGCTGGGGCAGTACAGCCTGGCCCCGACGCCCGCACCGGGCAGATACCGGGAGCGGCCCGCCAGGCCCCCGGGGCTGCGGGGCGGGGATCAGGGGATGAGGCAGCGCGGCCTGCGCTCCGGGTGTCCCCCTCCCAGCCCCCCGGGCCCGCTGCGGCTGGTCCCCTAGGCCTGGGGTGGGGGGAGGCGGGGGTCCCCGGAGAGGGCCCCGGCCTCCCGGCAGCACTAACTTCTCAGCCAGCAGCTCCTCTATTCTCCTTCTTTTCTTCTCCCTAAAAGAGAGAATAAAAGAAGGGTCAGCATCGCGCTACACACTGGGCGCCGCGAGGGGAGGGGGGCGAGGGGACGGGGCGGGGGGTGTGGGGACCCCGGGTGGCGGCGGCAACCGCCCACCGCCGCGCTCTCTCACAACCCAGCCCAGCCCGGCGCGTCTGCAGAGCCCCGGTACTTACGGCTCCTCGCCATCCGCCATATTGTTCTCCGCCTCTTCCCAGGTGCCCACGCGCGGCAGGGCGGGGAGGAGCGGGACTGGCAAAGCGGGGAGGGGCGGGGCTGGCGAAGCGGGGAGGGGCGAGGCCAGAAACACAACCGGCAGGGAGGTGCGAGGTTGACTGCGGCTGGGCTCCCATGGGCTTTAAAGTCTTGCCCTGTAATTATAATCTTAATTACCTACGCTTAATTAGGTGAATCTTATACCGTGCATAATGTTGCTCTGCAGCGTGAAAATGTAGACAATACATTATGCGTTTACACAAACTATATGTTAATACGTAATTATACAAAATATTGGTATATTCTATGAAAAATTCGTGAAGAACCCTCCCAGTATGCCAGAGCTTTCCTCTGGGGGCAAAGATCAAGGAAATTTTCACTTTCTGCTTTTCAGGATGGTTCCAAAGTCTTTGCCTTTATAAGTACTCACTTGAATAATAAATTTATCTAAATCCGTTTACATTGGTGGGGTGGGAGATTATTATTTTCTTTGAACAAATCAGCATTAATATTTTCATGTCACATTCTGTTAGATAAGTTCAGCGGAAACAAAATGATTAAAACTTTTCCTGAGATAAATGTGTATATTTAGATACAAAGAAAAAAGTATAAAGGAAAACAATCACAAAAATCAAAGAATAACTGAGAACACCCATAATCCTATCACCTAAAGATAAATTGTGATAAAAGTTTCAATTATTTTCTTCTAGAGTCAGAAATACAAATATACACTGTGAATCTGGATGGCTGGATAGAGGGAAATGATCATGTTCAAAAATGTATGTATATACACGTACACACACATCTCCTTCTATGGAGTGGGACAAGAATGATATTTGGAATCAAAAGTAACTGATTTTAAATTCTTCTCAGTTGTGAGCTACGAAACCCTTAGACACTTCTATTTCTTCATTTATAAAGTGGGCATAACACTATTCACCTTGTAAGACTGATAATTAAGTAAAATCCAGAGTGGCTCTCAAAATACAGTTCCTGATCAACATCACTTGGGAAGTTTTTTTTAACACAAATTTTCACCCCTCACCGCCCCCACCACGCTCCCCACCGCCCCCCCGCCACCCCACCCTTCAGCCTTCTGCAAAGCCTGGGGTGATTCTCCACTGGTAAAGTTTGAGGGCCACTGAAATGGAGTACATAAAGCCTGATGGGTACTCAGTAAATGTAGCTGCTGTTACTACACTGTGATATTTAACCTCCTCTTGTCCTAGTTTTCAGTGAACCTTAAGGAAAGCTTGTCCTTTATGGTCCCCCAATTAGGTTCAGTTCAATAGCATTCACTGAGCTGAAAGTCAATGCCAGGCAGTGAGCGTGGGAATAGAGTTCACAGTCCCTATCAAGAGATACCAGCCTCCTTCTGCATCACATGTCTCAGCGTCAACTATGAAACTACTTTTTCTTGCCCAGACAACTCCACAGATGGTTTCACTGAGGATTTAACCTCAGTGCTTATCAAAATGGGCTCCTGTAGCCTGAACCCCCAACAATACTGGATACCCTTTGATTAGTGGTAGTGAGCATTGCAACCCTCTCAGATAGTGAAAAGCAGCAGTCACCTTAAAGGCCACCTAGTCCAGTCTCACCCATTTCACAGGGGAGGAAACTGAGGCCTAGGGATAGAGTACAGCTAGCCGATGAAGAAGTCTGCAAAGGTATCTGGCCCTGCATCTGCTTGCTTTGAGACTAACAGCCTGACTCACCATGGTGGTATTTTGATAAACGACACCAGGCACTCTCACTGGCTTAGATTGATTGACGGATTAGAAATAGCCATCTGCCCTTGCCAGGAATGAAAGCAACAGAGACATGCAAGCAAAACCTTCAACAGATTTATTTTACTTCAAATGGAACATATCATAAACAATTAGACTATCTGCTATGGTTTTTAAACAGACAGATAGTCTGAATGGTCCTATCTAGACACACCAGTCCCATTATAAAAGCCCCATCAAGCAGGGCTCGGCTTCCCACACCTGTAGTCCCGGCTACTTGGGAGGCTGAGGTGGGAGGACTGTTTGAGCCCAGGAGTTTAAAACCAGCCTGGGCAACATAGTGAGACCCTGTCTCTAAAAATAATAATAAATTAAAGCTCCAGAAAGACCTCTACAGTGAATCTGACCCCTCCCTCCCCGGAATGAACACTAACAAAGAGCTGCTACTAATAGCATTTCAAACAGTTACTGGAAAAAAGTAATGACTCATTACATGTTCATTTTTATTTAAAATAATTTAACAAAGGTAGAAATATTTAGAGAAAAAAAAAATCTCCCATACCCCAAAGAGAGAGACAGGGTTAACATTTTGGGAGGGAGACAGAAGGGAATCATGCTATAAACAGCTTTCTCTGTCTTTTCAGAATTTATTTATTTATGTTTAAACCTCTAAAGAGGTTTAATTCTTTCTTGGGTATCAATTGCCTGTGATCAAGGAGTAATCATATTGTTACTAATACACTCTTGACAGCTTTTGGTCATGCAGTTCTGAGCAGTTGGAAGATAAAGTTCTTAGTTACAGCTTCTAATACTCATAAATCTCACCAACAGTGTGGGGCCCCACTGGAGTTCCCACTCTCATCTTGACCAAGATGATTTACTCAGCTTGCCCACAGTGCTGCCTCTTGACATTCTGAAGCCCTGGGGAATTCCTCCACACCCTCTGACTTCCTGTAACTGAGCACTGAGGCTCAGTGCATCTCTATTTAGCACTCCTCTTACTGTCTCATATTTAACTAGTGTTTCCACTGGATTGCAGAAGTTTTGAAGGCAGAGCAGGATTACATTTTTCTCCTCTTTAAAAAAAAAAAGAAAAGAAAAGAAAAAAAACCCACAGTGCTTTCACAGAGCCTCAAAAGAACTCGAAATACTTGCTGGCATTGTACTGAATATTCTCAACCTTTTCCCCCTACCCAGATACATCCACAACAATAAAGTTGGAGCAAGGTAGAGAAAAGTTAGTAGATGTTTATAATGAAAGCATAGAAAACAAATCAGATTAAAGCACTATTAATAGCAAACAAGAATCGTGGGCTATCCTATTGCTAATAACAATAATAGTAACATATAACTGTGAACCTTTATTATACACTAAGCATTTCCTATACATTCCTTCACTTAGCCTCGTCTATATGGCAGATGTTCCATTATCCCCACTTTACACATGAAGACACCGAGGCTGGGAGAGATTAAGTAGTTTCTCCAAAGTCACCTGCCAGAGAGGAAGGAGCTGCGACTCTAATTTTGCTTTCTCTGACTTCACACCATCCCATTTTTCCAGAATCAAGAAAACATGAGCACTCAGGAATATTTTCACATTTTAAACTTTATTCAAAAAGCAGCACATAAGATATATCTTAGCACTAATTCCATGCAATCACCAAATTTTCCTAAACAACAGTAGTAGTAGTAATTTCTTAGAGTCGCTGTAAGCTCCTTAACTGTCTTCTGAATTAATAAGGAAAATTAAATTATGTTTTCTAGACTTTGCATTAGTATATTTCATTACTTTCCAAGTTTTCAAAAATTGGTGATCTGAGTAGAGTGAATTCACCTTGTCTAAGCCACTTAGGGGCTTAGAGACTCTGTTATCTTAGAAATCTTCACCTTAGAATTCTACCTATTACATTATACAATTAAACAAACTACTTTTTTTCTCATGCATTGTACCAATCAGCCCCTTAACTGAAAAAAGATGACCCTTGGAAGCTTAGAAGAGAATTGACAACGAATACTTCTTTTGCCAGGTCTTTGGGCTGGGATACAAAACATCACGTTATCTATGAATATATTGTGGTCCCTCAGTGAAAGCTGTCACCAAATATTGCAATAAAACTAAGAAAACTTTTGAAGTGGAATGCATATTTCTGCCCAGAAAATGCTGGATGCAGAACAACTAGTTCACTGCAGACAACTGTTTGCTTTAAAATGTAAGCAACATGCCCAGCTCAGGACTGAAGTGGCCAGAGTGCCTACTTTATCAGAATGGCATAGCAGTCCAACAATTTAGCCTAGAGAGAACAGAGGTGGAGAACAAAGAAGAGAAGTGAAAAAAACAGACCAGCCCTTCTGTTCTACATGACCTTCTTTCCCGTTTTGCCAATCTGATTTCACACATAGTGACTCATGGTGAAACAGAGAAAACATGGGAATTGCATTCAGATGTGTAGAGGTTAGTAAGACTTAGTTTTCAAAAGCAGCTCATTCTCCATTAACACTGTAGTCGCCTTCCATTTCATTTCACTTAGATTGGCATCTGCACAGCTGCCAAAATTTTTCTCTAAGTCAGAGAACACACTCCTAGGTAAACCTTCAAAAAAGGTATTTCGAAGGAGGCAGCTTCTCTGCTGCTAGAGAAGGCATTGCCACCTCCCTTCAGACAGGGGATTTCCGCTAGTTGCTTTCTGTCATTTCGTCTCTATTCTGCACTCAGTCCCTTGTTCTGTCTGGAGGTTCCTGTTTTCCTGTACCCAACCAAGAGCCAATGAAGAAGTAAAGAGGAGCAAACACGCCCGCCCACTCCCAATTTCCTTTGCTCTGCTGTCTGCCAACCGCAAAGCCGACCGAGACGGAGCCGCTGTCAACTCTCCAACTCAGCTCAGCTGATCGGTTGCCGCCGCCGCCGCCGCCAGATTCTGGAGGCGAAGAACGCAAAGCTGAGAACATGGACGTTAATATCGCCCCACTCCGCGCCTGGGACGATTTCTTCCCGGGTTCCGATCGCTTTGCCCGGCCGGACTTCAGGGACATTTCCAAATGGAACAACCGCGTAGTGAGCAACCTGCTCTATTACCAGACCAACTACCTGGTGGTGGCTGCCATGATGATTTCCATTGTGGGGTAAGTGGGGTCCCCCTACCCGGGACACCGATCCGGGGCGAGCACGGAGGGGCCTCGGGGTGCAAGATCCCGGGATGTAGAGACGCTCTCTGACCACGCTCAGCGCCTGCCCTGGCAATTCTGCAAGCGGCCAAGCCAGTGGAAACTTGTTTGCAGGGCGAGGCCGCAGTAACCTGGGGCCCCATTTTCTGCACCAAGGGCTGAGACTTGAGGGGGGCCCTAGGGGAAAGAGGACGGGGAAAATTTGCCAGCCGCAGGGAAGAAAAATGAGAGTTCCCCCACCCCCCTGCCCCCGCCCGCGTGCCAGGATCGGGCTCTTGCTGGAAAGATATTTGTAGCGCCCTCGTCTTTTAAAAATAAGAAGAAAAAGGAAAGTGGTGTAACCCTACCCTGGAGCTGGCTGGGGCGGCAGGGTGTGGACCCGGGCTAGTGTAAAAAGGGCAACCAAGTGGCGACGCACTTTGCTGCTTTCTCTGCCTAATGCCTGCCACACTGTACAGTAAAGCTGAGCTTGGGATCAAAAGGGGGGGTGTCTCCTGGTGGCGCATCTCCCATTGTGGGGTAAAGGCTGCCATGACTGTGGGAAGATGGCCTTCTGGCATTTTCTTCCAGCAGTGGCCAGGCGTGGTCACTTTCTCTGTCTTCGCTTCCTAGCCTGAGGTTTCAATGTATCAGAAGGCCTTTTCAATACCTGATACTTAACAAAGTATCCTGTGTTGAGACTGCATGTACACCTGCTTTCCTAGAAACCACCTTTCCTTCTAGTTCACCCTTTAAGAAATGCTTCTCTCGCTTATGCAGGATGGGTGGTGATATTCTCAATCTTGCTGATTATCTCCTACACATCTTTAAAGAAAAAGCCACCCTCAGACTTTATAAAGGACTCACTTGCACTTAAATGTCTGACATTTCTATTTCAGGGCAGACGTAGAGGGAAGAAGCAGCAAGCTGGCTTGGGAGAAAAGGGAGAAATTTGCACTTGAAGGGTGTGGGAAAGGGTGAACAGGGTGGCTTCTTCAGTTGGCTCGCAGTTAATTGGCTTATACATTGAGCCACCTCTCTGTGCCTGGCCCCATGCCAAGCTCCAAGCACACCAAGATGAATCAGACTTGAATTCTGGCCCAGGGGCTCCTGGCAGTTGTTGAGAAGCTAAAGGAGCAAACACACAGCACAGAGGAGAGGGGGAGACTTCACAGTTTCCGAGTATGGTTCACAGCAATCACCCCCATGCAGAGGTGGAAGCCCACATGTGGGACTCTATACACAATCGCACAGATCCTTCTTCTGCATTGCTTAAGGAATTCTTAAGGAATTGCATTCTGGGAATGGCTTGGTGTATAGAGGGCACAGGCTCTGAGTGGACTCGGAACTAGTGTGGCAGCCAAGGTACAAGTTAGTCAGGGCAGGGTGGGGCAGGCCCAAGGCCTGAGGCAGCTGCCTTCTGAACCTTCCCTCAGCTCTGTGCTTCAGGCTGCTTTCCTGGAACACTAAAAAATTTCTTTTTTTTTTTTTTTTTTGAGACTGAGCCTCGTTCTGTCGCCCAGGCTGGAGTGCAGTGGCGTGATCTCGTCTCACTACAACCTTTGCCTCCCGGATTCAAGTAATTCTCGTGCCTCAGCCTCCAGAGTAGCTGGGATTACAGGCACGTACCACCATGCCTAGCTAATTTTTGTATTTTTAGTAGAGACAAGGTTTCACCATGTTGGCCAGGTGATCTGCCCGCCTCAGCCTCCCAAAGTGCTGGGATTACAGGCGTGAGCCTCTGTGCCTGGCCAAAAATTTCTTTTTAAAAATTTTTATTATTTATTTACTTTTGAGACAAGGTCTTGTTCTGTTGCCCAGGCTGGAGTGCAGTATTGTGATCACAGCTCACTACAGCCTCAACCTCCTGGGCTCAAGCAATCCACCTACCTCAGTCTCCCAAGTGACTGGGACCCCAGGTGCGTGCCACAAAGCCTGGCTAATTTTTTTTAGAGATGGGGTCTCACTATGTTGCCCAGGCTGGTCTTGACTTCTGGGCTCAAGCCATCCTTCCACCTTGGCTCCCAAAGCACTGAGATTGCAGGCGGGGGCTACTGTGCCTGGCCAAAAAAGTCTTTAAAACAAAATAAGTAGTAAATAGGTTTGCATCAATTTTTGTTTTTTTCTTTCTCTTTGCAAAGAAGCAGGAGGGCATCTTATCTGGTGATCTAGTTATGGAGGTATTTTCTTGAGGTAACTTAGATGTGGGGCAAAGTTTGACACAGACCAATAATTAAAAAAAAAAAAAAGTCTATTTTCTTCAGACATGTGTGCTGCCCAGACCAGGCACAAGCTCAGACAGCCTTGCTGCTTTTGATAGAATCCATTTTTCACTGTGAAGGCCAGGGGCCAGCCCTTTGACTAAATATAGCTCCGTCAGTATTGTGCCTTAGGCCACTAACTCAGGTAGTTTAGGGGTGTTGGCCCTCCTCATTTTCCTTTCAAATAAGAGTTGTTGGTTGTCAATGAAAATTTTGAAGTGAAAAAGTGAAAAGTAGCCATGAAGTTTTTAAAACTTATCCTTATTTTTAAAAACTTACAAAAGATACAGGCTAGTAGTAAAGGTTGATTTGAAAATTATGTGGATAAAATGTGAAATTTCCTTCATACTTCAGTAAAAGTTTGGTATATAACCCCTAACTGTTTTCTATGCAACTATAAGCACAGTCAGTAGTTTTTTCCACCAGTTGTTCTCTTTTCTTTCTTTATCATTTAATAATATAAATATTTATTGAGTGCTCTGTGTGTCAGGTACCTTGCAAAGTATTTTACCTGCATTATGTCATAGAACCCAATTTTAAAAAACTGTTACTTTTTTTTTATCATTAAACCTGAGGCTCAGAGAGGTTAAATGATTTACTCAAAGTCACAAACTTAGGCTTGTGCTCTTAACTACTGTTCTGTCTTACTATGAGTCACAAGGAAGAAACCAAACATCTTCAGAGTTAGGGAGCGTCCTTGATTCCAGAACACTTCTCATTCTAAAGAGAACTATCCTCTTTCGGTGATGCTAGTAGATGGGTAGGTCAGAGCAGTGCTGGCAGCTGTTCATCTGGATCCTCCACAGACTTCTCTCTAGTTTCTCAGAATATCTTGGTAGAGTATATGTGAAAATGTGACCTGGATAAAAGAGTGTTCAACAATGGTTCCATCCCCTGCTGGTGAGGAGAGCCTCAAGGGCATTGTAGGAGTGCTCTAGCCTCAGCTCTCCAATGTTGGAAACTGGCTTAGATGAGGATAGAGAGGGCCTCCTCTTCAAGATTTCAGGAAGGGTGAGGGAAGAACATAGCAAATACTATCTAGATCCAGAAACACTGGAAAAAACTGCCCATACCAAGACGGAGATTAAGAGGGATTAGGATAGAGATAAATCTGTGTTTAAACTTCTGATCAGAAGAGATTGAATTATTTAAAAGGAATAGCATGAATAACAGGCTAGGAAACTTGCGTTTTGCTGGAAATGCCTTTGGATCCTTTACATCAAGAAGGAAAAGTGTCTAAGATCGAAGTTGCCATAGCTTACCTTCTGCATCCTTGATGTGAGACGTTTTGGGATTAAGATATTCTTTTCACATCACACACAACAATAGAAGTCTCTACCTTGATCTTCAAAGTGAAAAACAAAGGCAACACCTAATGACACTTGCAATTTAAGTACTAAGCGTGTGATACATTCTAGTTGTGGATGAAAACTTCTTTGTGCTTAATGGAATGCCAAATGATTTGAGCTGGAGAACTCTGTTCAGTGTGTGAGCCATGGAACAGCAGCATCTTTCGCCTGAGAGCTTGTCAGAAGTGAAGCATCTCAGGCCCCATTTCAGACCTACTGGGTTAGAATCTACATTTTAACAAAAGTCTCAGATGATTCATAGGTACATTAAAATCTGAGAGGCACTGGATTGGTCTGGCTCAAAAGAAAATTTAAATAAATATACCTATATGCCCAGGTGTCACCTTCCGTGATTCAAAATGTATAGTTCTTGGCAGGGTCCAGGCATCTGTTGTTTTTTTCTTTTTCTCTAACTTCCTAAGTGATTGTGATTATACACCCCTAGGAGAAATACTGATCCTCTTGAACCCCGTAACTTCTGAAATGTAAAAGCTCGAGGTCACAGGCTAATTGGAACTAAAGCTGCTAATAATAGGAAGTGAAATATTTTTTCCATTAAGCCATATTGCAAATTTTCTAAAGCTCTTGATTAACCAAATTCAACTGCATCCCTGACTCTTACAATATTTGCAATGCTATTGCTGTCTTATTCTGAAAAGTTCTTTCCTGGATGGGTATAGTGGCTCACACCTGTAATCCCAACACTTCGGGAGGCAGAGATGGGAGGATTGCTCAAGGCCAGGAGTTTAAGACTAGCCTGGGCAACATAGTGAAACCCTGTCTAAAAAAAAAAAAAAAAAAAATTATTTTCTGCCATTAGAACTCATATTTTCTGGTATGGCCTCAGAATCACCAACCACACACAGAATTTGCAACATATAAAAATGCCTCTGCTGCTTCTCCAGCAAGAGAGCTGCATGTATTCTTATGTATATACATTTGTGCCTCCCCCTTTAGATAGAACCATGTAGCTGCTGAAGGAATGAGCCCATGATTTCTCAGCTGAAGTAACTCCTCACCATGTGGCCTGATCATTTGGCCTATGGAGATGTTGCAGGAGGGTGGAATTGACAGCTGCCACTTTATGCTTTCAGTTACTCAAGATGGTAAGGAGTTTCTAGAAGGCTGGTAATTATAAGTTTGAAAACAGCATTAATGTAATCTTTTCAAAATGAACGTGGCTTGGTGGCTCTGTAATATGTTCTAGGCCTGTGGCTCCCAGCATCTGGTATTATGAAATGTTCGTATTGTTTGTACCTTTAAATGCTGTAAAGATGAAGAACCAAGTTTCCAGTTGGTAGAGGAAAAAAAGCGTAAGGCAACCCTGGGAGGCTCTGGATCAGAATCTATTGAAATGATTGCAGATAGAATGAGTTGCAGTCTGTTTATACTAAAGCAAGTGGAAATGTTTTTGAGATTAGTCAGCTTCAACACCAGTTCTACAACATTACTCTTATTTGTGTTGCTTCATTCATTCAATTAACAAAGAGTATGAAGCACTTACCAACTTCTCAGACACTGCTAGGAGATAGTGAAGAATAGGACAGCTGTGATTCCTGCCTTCACGGAAAGGCAGCAAGACCACACTGAACACATGATAACTAATTTGTATACAAGTATAGCAAGTGTACAGAAATACACACCTACATAAACACATCCTTCTCAACCTGACTTACCTGATCTCCCCTGTACATTATTACTCCAAATTCCAAATCTCTCAGGTGTTGGGAATAGGGGAGGCATTGAGTATGTAGACAGGAAAAAGGTTTTTTTAAATTTTACTATCCTAACCCACAGCTCAGATCCTTCTATTCCATTGAACAAATACTGAGCACCTACCATGTGGTAGACACTGTCTAGGCCCTGAGGATACAGTCAGGAGTACAACTCCACCAGCCTTCCCAAATCCTCCCAGAATTCTCCTGCCCTTCGATGCCCATTTATTTGCATTTGAGGCTGGCACCTGTCTTCCTCTGATGGCTTATGTGTTTCTTCTGAATACAGAACTTTAAGAGGTCTGTCAACACACAGTAACATTTTAATCTCAAAATCTTTATCTAGGCTGGACATGATGGCTCACGCCTGTGATCCCAGCCCTTTGGGAGGCCGAGGCGGGTAGATCACCTAAGCTCAGGAGTTTAAGACCAGCCCGGGCAACATGGCGAAACCCCATCTCTACCAAAAATAGAAAAAATTAGCCTGGCGTGGTGGCATGCATCTGTGGTCCCAGCTACTTGGGAGGCTGAGGTGGGAGGATCTTTTGAGCGTGGGAGGCGGAGGTTGCAATGAGCCAAGAACGCACGCCACTGCACTACAGCCTGGGTAACAGAGTGAGACGCCGTGTAAAAAATAAATAAGTAAATATAAATCTTTAATAAGGATTGCTTTTCATTAAATAACCTCTGACAGTGTATGTGTGTATATGTGTGTGTATATACATACATATATATATATTTTGAGACAGGGTTTCACTCTATTGCCCAGGCTGGAGTATGGTGGCGCAGTCATGGCTCACTACAGCCTCTACCTCCCTGGGCTCAGGTGATCCTCCTGCCTCAGCATCTTAAGTAGCTGGGACTATAGGCATGTGCCACCAGCCTGGCTAATTGTTGTATTTTTTTTTGTAGAGAAGGGTTTTTGCCATGTTGCCCAGGCTGGTTTCGAACTCCTGGGCTCAAGCAATCCTCCTGCCTTGGTCTCCGAAAGTGCTGGGATGACAGGCGAGAGGTATGGCTGGCACACCTTTGATACTATTTATGTAACTTTGTTTATCTGAACTTCTCTCCCCTCTCCGTCCAGCTTTTTTTTTTTTTTTTTTTTCAATGTTGCCTGCTACTTTTGGCCTTTGGTTGGTAGTTTCTGTTTCCTTTCCCTAGGTAAGGATTTACAATGATTCTAGGTAAGTGTGCAAATAAATGAGTGTATTTTGGATTCCTGGCCCCCTGTCTTAGAAAGGAGAAGCTCTCCATCAGCTTAGGGACAGAGAGCTCTGTACAGGAAATCCAGTTCAAAAAGGTCAAGACCCATTCTTGACCTACCCACTTAATATCTAATTAAGCATCAATATTGGAAATTTTGTATTTTTTATTTTTTGGACAAATGAATTCTATCCTTATCACTCAGCTTCAGAAAACTTAACCCTTAATACCATCCTCTGTCTCTTGAAATGAGCGTGGCTTCCTGTTTCTGAGAATGCCTTCACCCTTAATACCATCCTCTGTCTCTTGAAATGAGCGTGGCTTCCTGTTTCTGAGAATGCCTTCAAGCCCTGTAATTTTAGGCAAAACCTTCAGGCTAACAACTTCAGGTTTGCAAGCATTCATCATTGATATATGATAGGATTTCCTGGCCTTCCTTCTCGTTATGCAATTTGCTAAAGGAGACACCTGGAAGGCAGAAAGCCCTGCTTCTTCTAATCTGCTTCATATCTCATTGGTGCAGCTTCTCCTTGTCTCAGAGGAAAAAGAATGCAGAAATTGGGGGTTAGTGAGGGGTAAATAGACAGGAAACTTGTGAGAAGGAAGTCTGTGTTACCAAGCTCGTTAGCATTTGTCCAGCCCCTGTCTTCTCTCCACAGCTCTGTAAGAATTTGCCATGTGACAGTTCTCAGTAGCTTTTGTTTGTTTTGTTTTGTTAAGACAGAGTCTCTCTGCATCGCCCAAGCTGGATGCCATGGCAGGATCTTGGCTCACTACAACCTCTGCCTCCCAGGTTCAAGCGATTCTCCTGCCTTAGCCTCCAAGTAGCTGGGATTACAGGCACGCACAACTATGCCTGGCTAATTTTTGTATTTTTAAGTGATTACAGGCACACACAATTATGCCTGGCTAATTTTTGTATTTTTAAGTAGAGACGGGGTTTCACCATGTTGGCCAGGCTGGTGTCGAACTCCTAGCCTCAAGTTATCCCCCCACCTCAGCCTCCCAAAGTGCTGGGATTACAGGTGTGAGCCACTGTACCCAGCCTTTTTTTTTTTTTTTTAATTTTCTAAAATCATTCAAGAAGAACAGTTTGTAAACAAATATCTTTCCACTTCTGTTCCCCAAAAAGTATTGGTTGTTAAGAGTAACCATGGGTTGCTAATTGTGAAAGCAGTGATGAGCATACATGAAGATTCATTATACATTATTCTCTCTACCTATGTATATGTTAGTTTTCCATAATGAAAAGTTAAAAAGGGTTTTATGAAGTCTAATCAGAGCTTTGTACACAACTATTATTTGAAGCTCCGTCACTGTGGGAAGCGTCAGATTTATGGTTTCTAATCCGAGTCCAACCTGTTGTTTATTAAAAACAAAAGAAAATCTGGAGGTTCCTAAGGCATGTCTTAGTATGAACACTTTTAACATGCCAACTGTTAAAAAGACAATGGTTGGTTTGGATGCGAGTGTTTAATTTGTGCCAAATTACACAGGATACAGTAAATATTTAGGGAATGGCAAGAATACAATAAATCCTCTAGGCCTTCCTAATTCAGTTGGTTAGGAAAATCTCACTATGACCTTTCTGTAACAAAAGAGACAGGCTCCTGTTCAGTTTTACCTACTGTACAGTCTCCTTTATTCCATGATCCTTAGGCCAAGGAGACACTGTTCTCATTTACTCAAGACGAATTTGTGTCCAAAGCCCACATTTATGCCTATAGTCAAAAATAGCTCTCCACTTTGGGAGGCTGAGGCAGGCAGATCACTTGAGGTCAGGAGTTCGAGACCAGCCTGGCCAACATGGTGAAACATCGTCTCTACTAAAAATGTAAAAATTAGCTGGGTGTGGTGGCGCATGCTTTAATCCCAGCTACTGGAGAGGCTGAGGCAGGAGAATTGTTTGAACCAGGGAGTCAGAGGTTGCAGCGAGCCAAGATTGTGTCACTGCACTTCAGCCTGCCGACAGAGGGAGATTCTGTCTCAAAAAAAAAAAAAAAAGAAAAGAAAAGAAAAAAATTAAAAATTAGCCAGGCAAGCTGGCACTCACCTGTAGTCTGTAGTTTCAGCTACTCAGAAGGCTGAGGAAGGTCACTTGAGTGTGGGAGAAAGAGGCTGCAGTGAGCTATGACCATGCCATCATACTCCAGCTTGAGTGACAGAGGAAGAACCTTTCTTGAGGAAAGAAAAGAAAAGGCATATGGAGCTGTGCTCTGGTCAGAGAGACTGAGGAAAGGCTGGCTGAGCTGAGACTTGAAGGAGGGTGGAGTGAGGCCTGTGTGCAAAGTATCCTCTCTGCCTGATTCACCTCACCCTGAGATGGCAAAAGGCAAGGTGAGTTCTGGGGTAGATAGAAACCCTGAGTGGATGGGGGTGCAATCAGGAGATGGTGTGACAAACCTGGCAGGTAGGCCAGCTGCTAGCCCTGAGAGTTCCCTCATGCTAATTACTAAGGCACTTCTTCCTCTCCTAGCAGTTACAGCCAAAGCCAAATTTTGGCCTTGGCTTGTGGAGTGTGTGACCTGGATTCCAGGCCCCACTTACCCCCTCAGCCAGGCACCAACTCCACACCTATATACAGTGGCCCTGGCTGCAGAGGCAGGCAGGGGCCAGACCCTGCGAAGCCTTGTAGAATGTTTAAAGAATTCTGTTTTTAGTTTAAGAACAATGAAAAGAAAATGGTTGGGTGGGTTCATATTTGCAGTGATCCCTCTGGCTGATTAAGGACCACAGAGAAACATCGCCAATTTAGAGAAGTCCACCGTGAGTATATTGTTCCCCACTTTTTCGGTGAGTCAGCCTTCCTCAGAAACCACACTTCAAAAATAGCTTTTTCGGCTAGAAAATTGGAACTCAGTGCAAAGCTGCCTGTACTCCTCAGGAAATATTTTGCTGCCTCTTTGGTGGTTCTTTTTGGCCTTGCAGCCTGACAGGAGTCACCAAATGTGGCCTTGAGTTGATCCGAGGATTTCTGTTATGGCAAACTTTTATTGCCAACTTTGCAATTGGTGGCCTTGGACAAATTTATTAACTTGTATATTCTTTAGCTTGCTTACGTGTAAAATGAGGTGGGTTAGCAAGATCCTTCCTAGCTCTAAAATTTTGTGAGATTTTTTTTTCCCCTTTCAGTAACTTGTGGTAAAACTATAGACATAGCTACTGAATCACGTTGGGAAGTTTAGGACCTGTATCCACACCCACTAATAGCCACCTTGTTTCAGAGAGAAATGAGAGTGCAGAGGGATTTTCCAGGATGATCCTTGGTTATAGTAGGTTACTTAGAGTGTGGGGGAAATCCTTAAAGCCGGTTAACATGACAGAATGGGTTCTACTGTGAGTTGCTGCCACAACTGGCACCCTTGTTTTCTTGTTTCTCTCCTGGATCCCTTTGGATATGTTTCTTCTCTGGGCCTCAGTTTAGTTATCTGTATAATTGGACTAGACTGATTCATCTTTGAAGACTGCTACAAAATTTCTGTGATGGGATTCTAAACCTTTTTATAACCATAAATGACTGCTCTAGAATGTGTAACTATTATAGGGAAAGATTTATTAATTATTTATTGGAATTGGGTAATACATGTTCATATTTTAAATATATATAATTAAAATATATACAAACATATGTATTAATATATTTTTAATTTCACAATAGAAAAACATAACGGTTTTTGAGTTGCAAAACTAGGTCCTGCTGTTTCTCCCTTCTTTCTCACCATCCCTCGTTCTTTTTTTTTTTTTTGAGACGGAGTCTGGCTCTGTCACCCACGCTGGAGTGGCACAATCTCAGCTCACTTCAACCTCCACCTCCCAGGTTCAAGTGATTCTCGTGTCTCAGCCTCCTGAACAGCTGGGATTACAGGCATGCGCCACCACGCCCAGCTAATTTTTATGTTTTTAGTAGAGATGGGGTTTCGCCATGTTGGCCAGGCTGGTCTCAAACTCCTAGCTTCAGCTGATCCACCCACCTCAGCCTCCCAAAGTTCTGGGATTACAGTTATGATCCACCGCACCCAGCCCTCTTTCTTACTCTAGGACTATCAGTAAGTGAAACTCCACCCAGCAGACCACAGAGGCAGCTGTCTACATGAAAGATGGGTGGCATGTTTATGGAAAGTTTTGTCCTAAAAGTCTTTGGGGTTTGTCGTGATTGCTGTGATAAACAGCCCAACTGTTGACTAAAAAGCATCTCAGGCAAGAACTGGTTCCCAGATTTCTGAGAATTTCTGTTAATCTGTAGAGGGTGTGTGTGTGTGTGTCTGTCTGTCTGTCTGTCTGTCTTTTGTTCCAAATACAGGTAAGTGCCAGGGCATTGGAGTGGTATACATTTTATCAGATACAGAAGAAAATAATTTCTGCTCAGAGTAACTTCGTTAGTTTTTTTCCAGCTTGGAAACTTGCTTGCTTTCTAATTATAGACTGTTGTTGGGCAGGTTATGAACTAAAACCAGTTCTATAGAACTTCAGGCTCTGTTCTTTTCTCTTGGACATGAGCAACCAGAACAGGTGAAACAAATTTGGAATTGCTTGAGTTAGGCCTGGATTTTTCATTGTTCCTTGTCCTGGACTTTAGGCACTCAACCTAAATATGTATTTTACTTGTCTAGAGGAAAATAAAAACAGCTTGACATGAATTTTGTTATATGCTTCACTTCATGAATTATTATTTTAATAAGTATTCCAGAATGAACTGAGTAGGAGCCCTTTGATGCTTTGCTGCCAGCCAACCCACTCCTACTTGCAGGGTATGCAAAGGAATTTCCTTGAATTTCAATCCTCCATTTGAGTTCTTTGTGTTGATTTGATCTTTGTTTTGCTTTGCTTTTTTTTTTTTTTTTTTTTTTTTGAGACGGAATCTCGCTCTGTCACCCAGGCTGGAGTGCAGTGGCACAATCTCGGCTCACTGCAGCCTCCGCCTCCCGGGTTCAAGCAATTCTCCTGCCTCAGCCTCCCAAGTAGTTGGGATTACAGGCACATGCCACCAAGCCAGGCTTAGTTTTGTACTTTTAGTAGAGACGGGGTTTCACCATGTTGACCAGGATGGTCTTGATCTCCTGACCTTGTGATCCACCTGCCTCAGCCTCCCAAAGTGCTGGGATTACAGGTGTGAGCCACTGTACCTGGCGATCTTTGTTTTTCTTTACGGCTCAGAAGAAACATTTGGGTAGGTTATAGGTCAAAGTCAAGGCTTTGTAAAGGGTTTTTTACATTCAGGAGCCTTTCCCCAATTTCATTTGTTCATTTTTAAATACCAATTTTTTTTATTCATCAAGGAATACATGGCCATTGAAAAAAATATGAAAATAAAAATAAGCAAATGGAAATAAACTCCCCTTATCCTACTATACTGTAGTCTTTGGTATAATTTTTCAGTTTCTCTAAGTATCTTTTTATTTTTTAATTGAGACAGGATCTCACTCTGTTACCCAGGCTAGAGTATAGTGGCACCATCACAGCTCCCTGCAGCCTTGACCTCTGAGCTCAGATGATCCTCCTACCTCAGCTTTCCAAGTAGTGGGGACTATAGGTGTGTGCTGCCACACCTGGCTAATTTTTGTGGGGTGTTTTTTTTTTTTTTTGGAGAGATGGGGTTTCGCCATGTTGCCTAGGATGGCCTCAAACTCCTGGGCTCAAGCGATGCATCCGCCACCTCGGCTTCCCAGAGTGCTGGGATTACAGACATGAGCTACCACACTGGCTTAGAATCTTTTGTGATGCTGGGAATTAGATAATATTAATCTATAAGAGTTTCAAGGCCTCTTCATTCACTCTCCACTCTCTACAACCTGCTGAAGGGGATTGTGGTTTTGATTCATCAGATTCTTTCCTTCCTCAGGCGTATAAGGGAATTTTTTCTTTCCCAGACCAATTCCGGGGTTGTCTCAGAAGACAGGGCATAATCCAGATAAAATAAAACAGAAAGAAAGTGCAGAGAGGCCAAGTAGACCCAGGTAACACAGAACCAAGAGGGAGGGGAAGAGGGCAGAGAGAATAGCACATGTGCTGGGTATTGGGGAAGGTTGGGGCACTGGGGTGCTATAGACTGGCACAAGAGGATCTGGAGGATGAGCAGAAAACCAGGATTTGGATTGGAGAAGGAACAGCTTCGCTGTGGTTCATGAACTGAAATTCCATTAATGTTGTTGGCGAGATGGGACAAGTAGAGATGGACTTTTGTGGTTGGTCTGTGCCAAGCGGCGGTTGTGGGTTGGAGAGCAGCTGCTTTTATGTTTTTGTATTTCCTTTTTTATATATTCATTTTATTTCTGATTATGAAATAATATACTAATTATAGAAATTTCTATTTCTTTTTTTTTTGGAAACAGAGTCTCACTCTGTCACCCAGGCTGGAGTGCAGTGGCGCAATCTCGGCTCACTGCACCCTCTGCCTCCCGGGTTCAAGTGATTCTCCTGCCTCAGCCTACCAAGTAACTGGGACTACAGGTGCCTGCCACCATACCTGGCTTTTTTTTTTTTTTTTTTTTTGAGACATAGTTTTGCTCTTGTTGCCCAGGCTGGAGTGCAATGGCACCATCTCGGCTCACTACAACCTCCGCCTCCCAGGTTCAAGCAATTCTCCTGCCTCAGCCTCCGAGTAGCTGAGATTACAGGCTCCCGCCACCGAGCCCAACTAATTTTTTGTATTTTTAGTAGAGACAGGGTTTTACCATGTAGGCCAGGCTGGTCTTGAACTCCTGACCTCAGGTGATCTGCCCGCCTCAGCCTCCCAAAGTGCTGGGATTACAGACATGAGCCACCATGCCCAGCCCAGGCCCAGCTAATTTTTGTATTTTTAGTAGAGGTGGGGTTTCACCACGTTGGCCAGGCTGGTCTCAAACTCCTGACTTCAAAAGATCCACCCACCTTGGCCCCCACAAAGTGCTGGGATTACAGGCTTGAGCCACTGTACTCAGCCTAGAAACTTCTACTTCTGAGCTATCTAACTTATATGATAAATCTACCTAACAGACAATGCATTATGTATTACAATTGCTTTTACCCACTCAATATATAATGTCTTCCCATATTATTAAATGCACTTCAATGTTTTAAAAATAGCTGTGTATACAATACCACAGCTATTGGTATTGTTGGCCATATAGGTCGTTTCTGAAAGTTTTTAATCATAAATACCACTAATATCAATACTGTTACAACTCAATCTTTGCGTTTTTGTTTAATTCCTTAGACTATATTCTGAGGAGGGGATTTATTGGCTTGAAGGATACAAGTATTTGCAAGGATTTTGAATGAAATTAGCAACTTATTATTGTAGAGTTTAGTTTTAAATTATGTACAACTGGCTGGGTGCGGTGGCTCATGCCTGTAATAGCACTTTGGGAGGCTGAGGGGCGGGGGGGGTGGGGGGTGGATCACATGAGGTCAGGAGTTCGAGACCAGCCTGGCCAACATGGTGAAACCCCGTCTTTACTAAAAATACAAAAATTAGCTGGGCATGTTGGCGGGTGCCTGTAATCCCAGCTAGTAGGGAGGCTGAGGCAGGAGAATTGCTTGAACCTGGGAGGCAGAGGTTGCAGTGAGCCGAGATCGCGCCATTGTACTCCAGCCTGGGCAATGAGTGAAACTCCATCTCAAAAAAACAAACAAAAAAAAATTATATGCAACTACTCTTACCACTGTTTAGCTTTGTGCATCTTAATAGAAATTTTTAGCTTTTTCAAAGCAGTTTGACATTGATTTTATCCCTTAATTTCACCCATTCAGGTGTGAAAAGCTTTTACTCTTAATTTTAAAATGTTCAAAATTCCTTTTATGTTTCAGTAGGCAGAAACAGAGCTAAAATTTAAAGGGATTTTTGAAAAAGAATTGTATTTATCCTGAATACGAATCCCAATATGAGCATGAGTTCTTCATCTCTTCCATTTCAGAGAAAGTAAGCTCTTGGCATCACCCTCCCTTATCCTGTCTTCCCCCTTCCCTCATTTCAAATCAGCAATGTTACTATTCAGGGCATGAGGAGAACACACTATCGTCTGTGTCCTTCCCAAGTAAAGTCCTCATTAGCCTCTAGGGTAAAAAGTTAAGTAACTCATTGTACCAGCCCACCACAGACGTCTTGTTAAGGGTTTTGTATACACAGTGGATTGGGGTGGGCGACTATAATGCCCAAAACTTTGTCTAAATTTCTTCTTCTTATTATCATTATTGAGACAGAGTTTTGCTCTTGTTGCCCAGGCTGGAGTGCAATGGCGTGATCTCAGCTCACTGCAACCTCCACCTTCTGAGTTCAAGTGATTCTCCTGCCTCAGCCTCCCAAGTAGCTGGGATTACAGGCATGTACCACCACGCCCAGCTAATTTTTGTATTTTTAGTAGAGATGAGGTGCCACCATGTTGGCCAGGCTGGCCTTGAACTCTTGACCTCAGGTGATCCACCCACCTAGGCCTCCCAAAGTGCTAGGATTACAGGTGTGTGCCACCATGCCTGGCATAAATTTCTTCTACATAATGTGTTTCCTCCATTATCAATAGTAGTGTAATTGCTATTACATACTAAACATTTGGCTTATATAAGAATGAATCTGGAACTGTGTGCTTGAAAATCTGCATTGGTAACTCATCTCCTAATGATACTTTGGGCATTTTAAAACACTTATAATGAACTCTCTATGTGAGGAGTCATAAACTCAAATGCCTCCATGGGGCAGGCAGGTTATGTAAGAGAGCGATTCAGGCCAGCTATTAGAAAAACAATGATTAGACTGGGCATGGTGTGGCTCATGCCTGTAATCCTAGCACTTTGGGAGGCCGAGCTGGGCAGATCACTTGACGCCAGGAGTTCAAGACCAGCCTGGCCAACATGGCAAAATCCCACCTGTACTGAAAATACAAAAAATTAGCTGGGCGTGGTGGCATGTACCTGTAATCCCAGTTACTCGGGAGGCTGAGGCACAAGAATTGCTTGAACCCAGGAGGCAGAGGTTGCAGTGAGCCAAGATTGCGCCACTGCACTCCAGCCTGGGTGACAGAGCAAGACTCTGTCTCAAATAAAAAAAAAAAAAAAAGAAAAACAGTGATTAATAGCACCTCACTTTGGGCCTATGTGTCCATGATGCAGTAGAGAGCAGTGTGGACTGGAGCTCAATGGAGACTGTTTATTCTGTCTGAATGAGA